>NC_000007.14:90082536-90385566 GCF_000001405.40 Homo sapiens | reverse complement strand
CTATACATTGTGGAATGGCTCAATATAGCTAATTAACGTGCATTACCTTATGTGCTTTTTTGGAAAAACCACTTAAAATTTACTCAGTGACTTTCAAAATACATTGTTGTTAATTACAGTCACCAAGCTGTACAACAGATCTCTTGAACTCAGTTGCCTTGTCTAACTGAAATTTTGTAAATTTTGACCAATATCTCCTCAATCCTCCACTGCCCCACCAGCCCTTGATAACCACCATTCTATTCTCTCCTTCTATGAGTTCAACTTAAGATTCCACAGTGAGATTATGCAGCATTTGTCTTTCTAAGCCTGGCTTATTTTACTTAACATGTCCTCCAGGTTGTCACAGATGAAAGGATTTCCTTGTTTTTAAGCATTAAATACTGTTCCATCAATACCATTTTTAATATATTTAAATTATATCCATTTTGGAAGTAGTAACAGCATGCTTTGATGGTGGCTCAGTAGAAGACATTGTATCAGAAATCCACAAATTAAGCAACTGTTTCTTATGAAGTGCATCATTTTCCTGGTTGGCCTGTTCATCCAGTGACTTTCTTATACAATTCTTTAATTCTTCGATTCCTTCTCCAGTAACTGCAGATATGGGGATGATATGTTGGAACTCTACAGTCCTCTCTGGAATCATGTTTTTTTCAAATAAATGCAGAAAATCTAAAAGAAAGAGCACAAACAAAGCTGATTTCCATTGTTTTCGAAAGTTAGTTAAAACCATGTTAATGGTTTGATTTGTGAAGCAGGGAACCAACACCAGCATTTTTCATGCCTTTTTTCACCTTTTCTAATAAGTTCTCAGAGCCTTTGGATTTTACCATTGATTATGGTAAGGTTCTTGGCACATAACATACTTGTTAGATAAATATATTTTAAACCAAACTAAGTATGAGTAGAAGATGAATCACAAAAATGACTTACTTAAGGAAGTAATAAATTTTGTGTGTGTGGGGGGGGTTAAATAAGGCAAGGCAGCATTGATTCTCTGAAAGATACTTTCTGTAAAAATAATAACATCATTTATGATTTGAGACATTCTACTTGGCCTCAGTACACTGGAGACCTTTAACTTCCCCAAAGTATAGGTTTATCATCAATGATGCTAGGATCCATACAAAAACTGAAGAGGGATTATAGAGAATTCAAGGGAAGATAATTTCAGATGAGTCCAATCTATCACCCCACAAGGGCTAACAATTGTTATATTACTTTTACCTCTTCCCTGTCACCATGGCATACTGATTGGCTGGGGAGATGGCATACTGATTAGATGGATTAACTGATATGAACTAGAAAGGCTGGACTGAAACAGATTGGTGGAGAAGACAACATGGAGCTTACTTTCTGAGATTCAAAAGCCCCGAAGAAAGTCCAGAGAGGATAACTCAGGATTATCACTAAAGGGCCTATATTTTATTTCACGATAGGTCAGAACAGCTACAGACTCCTGAGTCACCCTCACTTTCGGTATTTCCTCTGAAAATTCCCTTCTCTGCAAGATCAACTAGCAAAAAGAACTAATGACCATACAAAGCAAATGTCATTAGGAATGAAGGCTATTTAGTATCAGAGAATATTTATATCCCATGAGTAATTTATTAACTCAAGGACAGCTCCAACATGTAGATTACACAGGGGAAAGATTTTTGAGAGGAAAGGACCTTCTGGTGCTGTTTGACAGTCTTAGTACCTATAATCTATTTTCCAACAATTGTTACCAAGAATAAAAACAGAGACATATTGAAAAACATGTTAGCCACATACCATACACCCTACTTTTCCTCATTTGTGCATGAGGTTCTCTACTAGACTCTGAATGAAACCACCATTGCCATAGGATAGAAGGTGTTCTGCAAATGTCAATATTCAAAACTGTGGAGAATCCCTTTAAGTTACTTTACATATAGTCCAGGAAGTAAATTCCAGACAAATAAATCATTTTGGAGTCACAGCTTCTATTATTGTGTCACACATACACAGGAAAAATGAAGTTCTTTTCAGAAGACTCATCCTCTTCAGAAACCTATAGAGTTACTTTTGCCAAGAAACATACTTCTTTAGAACTTCTTAGTTCTGTCTTTAATTTTATGATGTACAGTACTAGACGAATGAAGAGCTTGTGAAGTATGTTAATGAAAGTGAAAGACTTCACAGGTAGATGCTGACTTTTTCCTCCTTTTATTCAAATCCCACATATGCCTTATGGGCCCAATTTAAGTTTTATTCTTCATGTAGCCTGACCTTTTTAGTTCAAATTAATCTTTCTTTTGTCTCCTTTAATTTACTGTCCATATCAAACATTCTAGAATTTGGTAATTATTATGTTACAATGTTATTTACATGTTTTGTATATTCTTTCTTCAAACTTGACTTTTAAGAGCAGAAACTGTCAGTTTTCCACTGATTATAACAGCATTCTCTGTACATTGTAATTATTCTTTAAATTAGAATTAAATGAATAAATAGGTTTACCTTTAGGATTCTGGAGCTGGCTCATCAATTCATGGAACTTATCTTGGGCATCTGGCAAGTCCATTTTATTAACTGCCAAGAGTGCAGGTTTTGTCTGAAGTTCCTCTTTGTACAATTCCAACTCCTTTAAATCAAAAGAGAAAACCCAATAATTTTAGTACTGGTTTCTGTATAAACTACTTATTTGGTAATTAATGACCCAGGTGATCTAAAACCCATTCACATCACCGAAATGCAATAAATCCCAACAACAGAAAACAAAAGGAAGAATTTCAGAAAATGACTCTGGTTAAGTCATGTGTTAGTATGTTTTAGCTTAAATGATATCCTAGAGACAGTTGTAATTTTGCGTCTAGAGTCAAATATGGGTATCTGGACTTCACACAGATAAAATTCAGAAGTCAGTAATGATCACTGAATGTTATACCTGTAGTATTCTTGGAAAAAGTAAATGCACTTAGGAATAAATCTTTGTTACCTTGGATTAAACAACTGTTTCTTAGATATAACATGAAAAGCACAAGTAAAATAATAGATAAAAGGCAGAAGACTGCTTAAGGCCACCAGGAGTTTGAGGCTACAATGAGCTAGGATCATGTCTGCACTCTAGCCTACATGACAGAGCGAAGCCCTGTTTGTAATAAAAATAAATAAATATGTAAGACTGGGCATGGTGGCTCATGCCTGTAATCTCAGCACTTTAGGAGGCTGAGGTAGGAGCATTGCTTGGGCCCAGGAGTTCAAGACAAGCCTTGACAACATAACGAGACCCCATCTCTATACAAAATTTTAGTTTAATTTTAAAAAAGGAAAGAAAAGAATGAAACAAATGGAATTTCATGAAAATTAAAAATTTTGAGTTGTTTTCTTGCTATTGAGAGTTGTTTTGCTTCCTTATGTTTTGGATATCAACCACTTATCAGATATATGATTTACAAATATTTTCTCCCATTCCCTTGGTTGCCTCTTCACTCTGCTGACTGTTCCTTTTGCTGTGCAGAAGCTTTTTAGTTTGATGCAATCCTACTTGTCTATTTTTCTTTTTGTTGCCTGTGCTTTGGGGTCACATTAAAAAAAAATCATTGCTCAGACAAATGTCATGGAACTTCTCTGTTTTCTTCTAGTGGTTTTATGGTTTCAGGCTTTAAGTCTTTAATCAACTTTGAACTGATTTTTTATATGGTGTGAAGTAAGGATCTAATTTCATTTCTCTGCATGTGGATATTCAGTTTTCTCAGTATCACTTATTGACGAAGAAAACTGTCCTTTCCTTACTGTGTGTTCTAGGTACCTTTGTCGAAAATTAACTGTAAATGCATGGATTTAATTCTGAGCTCTGGATTCTGTTCCATTGGTTTATGTGTCTACTGTTATGCCAGTACCACGCTGTTTTGATTATGATAGCTTTGTAGTAGGTTTTGAAATTAGGTAGTGTGAAGCTTCCAGCTTTGTTCCTTTTGCTCAAGATAAGATTGCTTTGGCTATTCAGGGTCTTTTGATGTTCCATACAAATTTTAAGATTTGTTTTCTATTTCTGTGAAAAATGCCATTAGAATTTTGATATGGATTGTGCTGAATCCGTAGATCACTTTGGGTAATATAAACCTGATTTAAAAATGGATAAAGAACCTGAATTGACATTTCTCAACAACAAACAAATGACCAATATATGTATGAAAAAATGTTCAACATCACTGATCATTAGGGAAATGAAAAGAAAAACCACAATGAGATAGCTCCTCACACTTGGAAGGATGGCTATTATCAAAAAGACAAAAGATAACAAGTGTTGTCAAGGATATGGAGAAAGAGGAACTCTTGAACACCGTTGAGTGGGAATGTAAATTAGTACAGCCATTGTAAAAAGCAGTATAAAGATTTCTCAAAAAATTAAAAATAGAACTACCATATGATCCGGCAATCCCACTTCTGGGTATATATCCAAAGGAAATAAAATCAGTATGTCAAAGAGATCTCTGCATTCCCATTTTTACTGAAACATTATTCACAATAGCCGAGACATGGAATCAACCTCAGTGTCCATCAATGGATGAATAACGAAAATGTGGTATACACACACACAACTGAATATTATTCAGCCTTAAAAAAAGAAAATCTTGTCGTTTATAACAACATGGATGAACCTGGAGAACACTATGCTAAGTGAAATAAGCCAAGCACAGAAAAAAAAATACTGCATAATCCCACTTATATGTGGAATCTTAAAAGGTTGAATTCATAGTAGCAGAGAAAATGGTGGTTGCCAGGGTGCTTGGGGGAGGAAGATGGAGGGGTGTTGGTCAAATGGAACAAAGATTCAATTAAATAGGATGAATAAGCCCTGAAGATCTATTTTACAGTATGATGACTATAGTTAATGTATTATATATTTGAAAATTGCTAAAACAGATTTTAAATATTCTCAACACACATAAAATAGTATGTAAGATGATGGATCATGTTAATTAGCTTGATTCAATCATTTCACAAGGTAAACATATATCCAAATATCACTTGTACACTTTAAGTACACACAATTTTTATGTCAATTACACTTTAATAAAACTGGAAAATTAAATAAATAAATAATAGTTTTGTGCCACAAAGAATACAGAAAAAATACACTGAAAAAGTGAAAAGACAAGTCACAGAAGGGGAGAAAATATTTTCAAATTATGTATCTTAGAAGGGACTTAATTTCCAGCTGGGCATGGTGGCTCACGTCTGTAATCCCAGCACTCTGGGAAGCCAGGTGGGCGGATCACCTGAGGTCAGGAGTTCAAGACCAGCCTGGCCAACATGGTGAAACCCTGTTTCTACTAAAAATACAAAAATTAGATGGGCGTGGTGGCACATGCCTGTAATCCCAGCTACTGGGGAGGCTGAGGCTGGAGAATCACTTGAACTTGGGAGGTGGGGGTTGCATTAAGCCGAGACTGTGCCACCGCACTCCAGCCCAGGCGACAGAGTGAGACTCCATCTCAAAAAAAAAAAAAAAAAAAAAAGAGAAGGGACTTATTTCCAAAAATACAAAACATGCTTATAACTCAACAATTAAAAGACAAATAATACAAATAGTAATGCACACAGAATCTGAACAGACTTTTCTCCAAAGACACAGAAATGCCTAATAAGCACATAAAAAGATTCTTAGCATCATTAGTCTTAAGAGAAATGCAAATAAGAACTATAACAAAATACCACTGCACTCCCACTAGGATGACTAAAGTAAAAACGACAGACAATAACAAGTGTTGACATTCATGTGGAAAAATTGGAACATACATTGATGGTGGGACTGTAAAATGGCACAATGGTGCTACCAATTCAGAATAGTTTGGCAGTTCCTCAAAATGTTAAACAAAGCATTATTATCTGATCCAGCAATTCCACTCCTAAGTATACATCCAAGAGAAATGAAAACATGTCTATACAAAAACCTGCATACAAATGTTCACAGCAGTATTATTCATTATAGACAAAAAGTGGCAAATGAAATAGGATCTATAAAATCCTGGAGGTAAGGCAATACCATGTTGTCTTAGAGAGAAATCACATGGCTGAAATATAGCATCTAGGGGAGAGGGTTACAGAGGAGGACTGCTAGGTAGGGGCCTAAACTTGCAGATTTCATAAATCATGCTCAGGTTAGACTTTAACCTAACAGCTATGGGGGTCTATCAAAGTGTTTTAGGCAGGGAACATCAGCATCAGCTTGGTGCTTTTACAAAGATCACTCTAGCTGCCATATAAAAAATGGACTGGAGAGAAGCAAGGCAGGACACAGGGAGAATGGAAAGGACCAGATTCAATATTCCAATAAGAAGGGCTGATGATTATAACAGCGTAGATAAAGACAAGAGGATGGATTTCAGAGAGATTTAGGATAAAAAACTGACAGGGCTTGTGTAGGTGGTGAGAAGAATCAGTATATCATAGCTTACACATTCACTAAGTTATGGGGATGGCCGAAAAGTTTTTTAAAAGTTTACTTTTATCCATATTAAGTTTAAGTGACTAATGGGACATCTAGTCAAAGAAGATGTCCGATGGGCATCTGGTCTAAAGAACAACAAAGGCCAGGTGCAATGGCCCACACCTGTAATCCCAACACTCTGGGAGGCCAAGGTGGGTGGATTACCTGTGGTCAGGTGTTTGAGACCAGCCTGGCCAACATGGTGAAACCCTGTCTCTACTAAAAATACAAAAATTAGCCGGGCGTGGTGGCACACGCTTGTAATCCCAGCTACTCGGGAGGCTGAGGCAGGAGAATCACTTGAGCCCGGGAGACAGAGAGAGCCGAGATCATGCCACTGCACTACAGCCTGGCAGACAGAGCAAGACTCTGTCTCAAAAAAAAAGAAAGAACAATGAAAAGATTTAGGTATCAGCTACAGATCTGGCAGTCATCAATATTATTAATTGTAACTAAAGCAACGGGAGTGAGTAAGATAGAAAATAAGGTTAGGACAGAACTCTGAATAATGTTACTTAAAGGATGAGAAAAAAGAGCCTAAAAAGTAGACGGAGAAATAGTGTAAGAGTAGAAATAGAACCAGAAGATTACCGGTCACAAAACTAAGAATGAGAAACAAGAGGAATTAAACAATGTGCCAAAGCTGAAGCAAGATAAAAACCTGGGAAGTATGTAATGGGGATTTGGAAGCCCAGGAGTGTTTTATCCACTGCAGTAGTTTGAGGAGCAAATGAATGTAGAGGAAATGGAGACAACAAGTTTAAGTAATTCTTTAACTGACATCAAAGCTTTAAAGGTGGAGTATGTATAGACTGTAATTATGTTATTTCATATAGTCTTACATTCCTATGTATTAGACCAAATACAGAACACAGTAAAACAGAAAACCTACTTTTGTAAGCAGTATTATGGTTTCAAAAGCTGTCCTGTATTGAGTGTGAGAAGAAAGCTGAAATCCAGAAATATCAACCTAAAAAAAAGAGAAGGAAAGAGACAGCCTTTAACATACGAAGAATAGCTATACATTTCTATGTTTTAAAATGTTTTACTCTCTCAAGCTAAAAACAATTTCTCTATACTCTACTTGTTACTTAGTAATTCAAAATAAGTAACAGAAATCGAGGTGTTAAGATAACTTTAATTATTCTGATAAAATTACAGTTATTAATAAAATAAAAAACTAGGATAAGACAATTTGTATGAAGACAATCTCATATATAACTCTAGCATCATCAGTGAAGAATGAAAGAGATACTATGATACTATATAATATGGTAGTATGCTGGAAATCTTAAGGAAATACATGTTGGCAAGTATGGCCAAACTTACATATGATATAGTAAACAATGTCACTTCCATCCCCATATTATAAAAGACTTAGTGGAGTAACATATGCTACCACTTTCTTATTTATAAAAAAATTCTAGAAAAACTAAATTCACTGGTTTTCAATTTATTTGAATATCACATTAGTATACATATGACTTACAACAAAAAGTAGTTGTCTAGTTCTTTCTATATGCTTGAGGAATTTGTGGCCCATTCCTTTGTTCATATGTGCTCCTTCTATTAAACCCGGAAGATCAGCTACTGATATCTAATACAAAGTTAAATGGTTAATGAAAAAGGAAAATGTATGAAAACCGCAAGTTCAATTACATCCCAAAATTTTTAAGATATTTCAAATATAAACAGTTCCTAACTTATGATTACCACTACATCTTTGAAAAGCCAAGTATAAGAGTAAAATTAATGTACAGTATTAAGAATTAAAATTTTGTTATCAGATATTAGAGTCCCATATTTACTATTAATCTAATAATCTAGGAATTTTACAGATTAGTTTAACATTTGTTTATTTATTTATTATTATTATTTTAGAGACAGGATCTTGCTCTGTCACCCAGGCTGGAGTGCAGTGGTGTGACCATAGATCACTGTAGCCTCAAACTCCTGGGCTCAAGCTATGTTCCCACCTCAGTCTCCCAAGTAGCTAAGACTCCAGGTGCGTACCGCCATGCCCAGTTAACTAAAAAAATTTTAGTAGAGACAGGGTCTCGCTATCTTGCACAGGCTGCTCTCAAACTCCTATCCTCAAGTGATCCTCTCACCTTAGCCTCCCAAAGTGCTGGGATTACAGGCGTGAGCCACCACACTAATCCCTAGTTTAAAATTTATTTATAATTTCCTAAATGGTATTGTCCAATATGAACTTTTCACAGAATTTCAACCTTTATACTCCAAATTCGTAAAAATCTATGAGGTTATTAATTCAGCAGACATTTACCAGGTACAGCTCTGTATTTTAAATTCAATTTGTAATTATTTATTTGGCACCAATTGTTCCTTTTCTGTTCATATTATACTAGCAGGATTATCGACCATTCTTACAAAGTATTAGGTTGGTATAAAAGTAACTGTGGTTTTGGCATTACTTTTAAGAGACTTTACTACATTAATAGAGGTGTGATTCTCCTCACCTGTTCTTTGCAGTGCCATGTTTGTTAATGCTTCACATTTTTGTAGGTCATTATTGTTTATACTTAAGCAAATCTCATGGCATTACATGAGGAGCAGAGTTCTATCATCTAGAAGTTCATTCACCTGAGCATGCTTCCTTGTCACCTTGTCATCATCTCATTTTGTGCCAGTATTCAAGTAAGATCAGTCAGGTGAAACAGCACTCGACAAACCCAAGTTGTAGTTGTGGCTCTCCTACTTTCTCCTACTTTTGGCCATTACTTTTAATGGCCAAAACCACAGTTACTTTTGTACCAACATAATAAAAGAATACAGTTTCCTAGACTCCTTTTAGAGGGAATAATCATTATTAACCATCATTTTACACTTGTGCTTTTCTTTTCTTTTTTTGAGAGAGTCTCGCTCTGTCGCCCAGCCTGGAGTGGAGTGGGGCAATCTTGGCTTACTGCAAGCTCCACCTCCCAGGTTCACGCCATTCTCCCGCCTCAGCCTCTGGAGTAGCTGGGACTACAGGCACCCACCACCACACCCATCTAATTTTTTTTTTTTTTTGTATTTTTAGTAGAGACAGGGTTTCACCATGTTAGCCAGGATGGTCTCGATCTCCTAACCTCGTGATCTGCCTGCCTTGGCCTCCCAAAGTGCTGGGATTACAGGTGTAAGCCACCACACCCGGCCACTTGTGCTTTTCAAACCTCACTGTGCATCATAATCACGTAGGGAACTCTTAGAAGCTACAAATGCCCAGGCCCTACCCCCAAGAGATTTAGTTTCAAATCTCTGGGGCCTAAGCATCACTCATCATTGCTGTTCTTAGACCACCCAGATAATTCTGAAGTGCAATAAAGAATGAGAGGCAGTACTCGACATCCCTTGCCCAGTGTAGATAAATAATTCAGGGTCTTAAAGGAAGCTGACAAAGCAGCATGCACAACAGAAGTCTCATGTCCTGAAATTTCCTCTACTGATTTCCCTTAAAAATTCGGTATAAATGATGTTCTCTTTTCCTCTAAATATTGTTCTATATATTCATATTATCCTATATTTAATACAATTTTACTTACAGTTAACATTCTATATTATAACTGGTTTTATCTTTTACTGTTATTATCACTATTATAACCAAATACTTTTTTATGTTTCTTTAAATTATGTCATAAAACTGTATGAACCCATATTGATGCATCGTTAGCACCCAAAGTCTATACTTTACATTGTTGCATTCTTGGTGCTGTACATTCTATGGATTTTAACAAATGTATACTGTGTCTACCATTACAGCAACACAATGTTGCTGTAATATTATATAGTATCATACTTTACTATATGTATTGTACTTTATAGTGTACCCTAAAAGTTCTCTGTACTCTGCTTATTCATCTCTCCTTCCTCCCTAACCCTGGAAATCATTCATTTTTTTTTTTTACTGTCTCCACAGCTTTGCCTTATCCAGAATGTCATATAGTTAGAATCATACAGTATCACACAGTCTTTTCAGATTGGCTTCTCTCACTTAGTATTACGCATTTAAGGTTCCCCTAGGTCTTTTTGAGGCTTGATAGCCCAGTTCTTTTTAGAGCTGAATAATAATCCACTGTCTAAATATATATCACAGTTTATTTACCCATTCACCTACTGAAAGATATCTTGGCCAAGGTTTGGTAATTACAAATAAAGCTGCTATAAGCATCCATGTGCAGACTTCTGTGTGTGCATAACTTTTCAATGTACATGGGTAAATGCTAAGGAGCACAACTACTAGATTGTACATTATATTTTAAATATTGTTACTTTCCTTTTTTTAGTTTTTTTCTAATTATACAGAAGATCCACTGTTGTTACTTGTGAAGGAAAAAATGAATTTTAATAGCTGGTTGAGACCAAAACTCCATTAAAACATTTTCTTTCTCAAAAAAAGAAAAGTTGGAATAAAATCATTACCATGAACTTTAGAGAGCATTTTTAAAAAATGAAGATAAATAATCCAATATAGTAGTAAAAGAAAGACTTGCAATAAGAAGAAACTAAGGCTAAGAAGAAGACATAATGTTGTAGGGATAAACTGGACCTAATCTTTGGAAGAAGAAATTAAATATATTATGATAGTGCTCAGAATTAATTTGACCAGTTTCACTTAGCATAAACAAAATCTTGTTACTTTTTCTCCCCTAACACCACAGAAACAGGCAAAAACTATAATATCCAAGTACGTACCAAAACCAAGTACTTTTGACTTCTAATATAGTGTTTTACTTTAAAAATACCTACCTGTTTGAAATCACTGTACATTATCTTTCCAAGTTCAGGCTTTAATGTTGTAACTAAAAGGAAACACAGCAATAAATTAAGGCTAGAATTTATTTTAGGGCTGGTACTCTCAAAACTGTCTTGGTATTATGCATAAACAATATTTCAATTCAGATTTTGTTCTAATTTGCTAAAATGGAAACTATTATTATCTTTGCTATTTAATATGTACTTGGAGGGCCAAATGTTGTGGCTCATGTCTGTAATCCCAATGCTTTGGGAAGCCAAGGCAGGAGGATCATTTGAAGCTAGGAGTTCAAGATGAGCCTGGGCAGCATAGTGAGACCCTGTTTCTACAAAAAATGTAAAACTAGGCAGACATGGCAGTGCACCTGTAGTCCTAGCTACTCCAGAGGCTGAGGTGGGAGGATTGCTTGAGCCCAGGAGTTCAAAGTTACAGTGAGGTATGATCATGCCACTGTACTCCTGCCTGGGTGACATAGCTAGACCCTGTCTCTAAAATAAATGAATAAATAGTATTTGGAAAAAGACAAACACAGATTTTTATAATCTGTATAGGCCTAATGTAATTACTGAACCTCAACGTTCTTCTATTGCACTTTAAGGTGAGTGATAGATGTTCAGGAGGGTCAGATATTAAGTTTCTATCACTGGATCTGTGGCTGAAATTTTTCTAGTTCCTTCTCATTCAGTTATCCTCTAGTTCCTTCTCATTGTTATCCTTAAGCCTCATCAATCCTACGCTAGCCTCTTTCCTATGACTTTTTGCTCTTCCTTCTCAAGTCCTACATATATTATAACAAATATTGGCCTTGTGATTTATAGCACTTAGTCCAAACTTCACTCTACTTCGTCACAGTCTAATTTTAGAATGGCTTGATTTTATTTTCCAAGTTAATGGCATTCTGTGTCCTTTTAATGATGGCAGAGATCTTATCATACTCACTACTTTTAACCAAAGCTTCTTTTATATCTCATCTAGCTACCACAAGAGCCTACTAACTGGTTGTCTCAGACCCTTCATGTCCCACACCAATCCATTTTCTACATTACAGGCCGAGATCTCTGTGAGGAGCAAACCTAAGCATTTTATCCCTTGCTTAAATGCTTCCAATTGCTCTTAAGATATAAAAATCAAATACAGCCTAAATGGTCTATGTGACATGCTCTCTTACATCTCCAGGCTCATCTCGATTCTTTCCCTTATTTCATGTTCTCTAGACACACAAATCTACTCCCTGCCACCACTAAGGCTTTGTGTACATACTATTTCCTCTGATTAAAGACCCTTCACCCTCCACTCTATTTTACTAATTACCTCATAATTATTCCTCATATCCCAGTCCAAAAATCACACATCCTTAAGGAAGCCTAGAGCAGTCATCTATACTCTTTCATAGTACCCTTTCATATTCCCTTATATTTATTAGTGATATGTACGCCTTACTCCACTAGTCTACAAACTCAATACAAGTCAAAACAGGAGCTGTTTCTGTTTATCAGTCTTTGTAATCCCAGAACCTAATGTGGCTCCAAAAATAAGTATCTGCTAAATGAATGATAAGTACCTTCCTGGTACTTATCACAGTGCCTGATAAAAGGTAAGTGGTTCATAAAATCCTAACTAAACCAAATAAACGATTCTGTGACAGAAAAATAAATGCAATAAAGTAAGTGTCTAACCTGTTTAAGCAACTTTGCTGAGGGGTATAGAGGTTTCAAAGATTAATGGAAAATATGGCTGGGGAGGGTGGCTCACACCTATAACCCAGCAATTTAGAAGGCCAAGGTGGGAGATCACTTGAGCCTAGGAGTTCAAGACCAGCCTGGGCAACATGGCGAAACCCCTGTCCCCACAAAAAAAAAAAAAAAGTTAGCCAAGCATGGTGGCACATACCTGTAGTCCCATCTACATGGGAGGCTGATGCAGGGGGATGGCTTGAGCCTGGGCTGCAGTGAGCCATGATCATGCAACTGCACTTTGGCCTGTGCAACAGTAGTCTATCTGCCAAAAATTTTTCAGTTAAGGATACCCTCCGAGTTATCATTTTATTCATTCTCAGAGAAATATTAGTCTTTAAAAGTTTACCTCCACTCATTAAAATGTACAATCAAATTACACTTACATGCGTAATCTGCAATTGCAGGTTTTGCATGAGAAACACAACTTAGCAAAGAGGATTTTCCAGCATTTGGGAATCTGAAACAAGAATATAAAATTATACACAAATGTCAATATTATTATCTCTGAATTCCTAACAATTCAAGTAGACTTCATGAATATATTTGGGATTAAAAGTAGAATATAAATGTATTATAAATAATCTTGAAAAACTTGAGAACATACACTTACATAAAAGGTAAAGATAAATTCATGCTGGACACTGAAGATGTTTCAATATTTAAAGTGTATAATAATTATTCCAATTATGATTTAAAAATAAAAACCCATTGGAAGTCATAGAAAAAACAGAAATTAAAGAAAAAAAAGAAAAACACCTGTAACTTTCTAACTCCAGCTATACACTGACAAAACATTACCTTGTTTTGTAAACTGCTTTAAAAAAAAATTTTATAGACAGTTTCAAACATATACAAAAGTAGAGAGGTGTAATGAATTCCATTTAGCTATCACCTAGCTTCAACAAATATTAATACATTGGCAATATACTTCTTAAAATTTGGTTTGAATAGAAATCCAAGTAAGGTCTGTACGTTACAAATACCCGGTGTGTCTCAAATCTATTTTCAAGCTCCCCCTACCATCTTGTTTCCTATCTGCAATTTTATTTTTAAAGAAACTGGGTCAGTTGTCCTACAGAGTTTCTTTTCCAAAGTCTTCATTTTTCTACTAGCACCTACATGGACACTTAACATGCTCTTTTTCCCTCTATTGTCTGCAAAAAATTGGCAGTTTTTATAGAGTCTTAATGTTCAAGTTTTCATATTTTTTTGAAGGAAGTAGGGGAAAACTACTTTATAGTTGCTTGGCCTACTCTTTAAACTGAATCATATAAGGTGAACACTTTTCAATGGTGAAGTGTAATTTACTTAACTAATTTCCTATTGACAGACTTTCAGGTTGTCTACAATTTTTCACTCTAAACAACATTGTAAAAAATGTGTATACAGGTAGACAGACACTGTTAATAGTCATCTCTGGGTGGTGGAATTCATAGACAACTTTTTCTTTATGCAAACAAGTGTGTATTATTTGTTTTTTTAAAATAACTTTAAACAATGCAATGACTATCTTTAAACTTTTGCAACTTTTTTCATCTTTTCATAGCTTAATAGCTCATATCTATTTATTTATTTATTTATTTATTTATTTATTTATTTATCTATTGAGATGGAGTCTCGCTCTGTTGCCCAGGCTGGAGTGCAGTGGCGTGATCTTGGCTCACTGCAAGCTCCACCTCCCGGTTCACGCCATTCTCCTGCCTCAGCCTCCCAAGTAGATGGGACTACAGGCGCCCGCCACAATGCCTGGCTAATTTTTTTTGTATTTTCAGTAGAGATGGGGTTTCACCATATTAGCCAGGATGGTCTCAATCTCCTGACCTCGTGATCTGCCCACCTTGGCCTCCCAGAGTGCTGGGATTACAGGTGTGAGCCACCATGTCCGACCTATTTCTTTTAATGTTTTTATTTCAATAGCTTTAGGGGTACAAGTGATTTTTTTGTTGTTGTTGTTACATGGATACATTGTGTAATGGTGAAGTCCAGGATTTTAGTGTACCCATCACCCAAGTAGTGTACATTGTACCCAACAGATAGTTTTTCATCCCTCCCCATCCTCCTGTCCTCCCTCCGAGTCTCCAATGTCCATTATACCACTCTGCATGCCTCTGTGTACGCACAGCTTAGCTCCCACTTATAAGTGACAATATGTGGCACTTGGATTTCCGTTCCTGAGTTACTTCACTTAGGAAGATGTCCTCATTCTTTTTTATGGCTGAGTAGTATTCTATGGTGTGTGTGTATATATAGATACACACACACACACACACACACACTCAATTTTCTTCATTCATTGGTTGATGGGCACTAAGGTTGATTCCATGTCTTTGCAATTCTGAATGATACTGTGATAAACATGTGTGCAGGTATCTTTTTAATATAATGACTTCTTTTCCTTTGGGTAGATATCCTGTAGTGGGATTGCTGGATGAAATGATATTTCTACTTTCAGTTCTTTGAGAAATCTCCATACTGTTTCCATATAGGTTGTACTAATTTGCATTCTCACTCAACAGTGAATTTTAGTGTACCCATCACCCAAGCAGTGTACATTGTACCCAATAGGTAGTTTTGCATCCCTCACTGCCCTCCTATCCTTCCTCCCTCTGAGTCTCCAATGCCCATTATAACACTCTGTACGTCTTTGTAAGAGTTAAGTTCCAAGATGGCCAAATAGGAACAGCTCTGGTCTACAGCTCCCAGCAAGATCGACACAGAAGATGGGTGATTTCTGCATTTCCAACTGAGGTACCTGGTTCATCTCAATGTGGCGGGTTGGGCAGTGGGTGCAGTGCATGGAGGGCAAACCAAAGCAGGGTGGGGCGTTGCTTCACCCGGGAAGCACAAGGGATCGGGGGATTTTCCTTTCCTAGCCAAGGGAAGTCGTGACAGTCTGTACCTGGAGGAGTGGTACACTCCTGCCTAAATACTGCGCTTTTCCCCAAGTCTTTGCAATCGGCAGACCAGGAAATATCCTCCCGTGCCTGGCTGAGCAGGTCCCAAGCCAACGGAGCCTTGCTCACTGCTAGCGCAGCAGTCTGAGATTGACCTGCCATGAGCTGCAGCTTGGCAGGTGGAGGGGTATCCGCAATTGCTGAGGCTTGAGGAGGCGGTTTTGTGCTGACAGTGTAAACAAAGAGGCCTGGAAGCTCGAAATGGGTGGAGTCCACCACATCTCAGCAAGGCCTACTGCCTCTCTAGATCCAACCTCTCTGGGCAGGGCATATCAGAAAAAATGGCAGCAGACAGCTTTGGCAGACCTTAACGTCCCTGTCTGACAGCTCTGAAGAGAGAGTCGTTCTCCCAGCATGGTGTTCAAGCTCTGAGAAGGGACAGACTGCCTCCTCAAGTGGGTCCCTGACCCCCGAGTAGCCTAACTGGGAGACACCTCCCAGTAGGGGCCAAGAGACACCTCATACAGGGGGTTGCCCCTTTAGGACAAAGCTTCCAGAGCAAAAATCAGGCAGCAATATTTGCTGTTCTGCAGCCTCCGCTGGTGATTCCTAGGCAAACAGGGTCTGAAGTGGACCTCCAGCAACCTCCAAAAGACCTGCAGCGAAGAAGCCCGACTGTTAGAAGGAAAACTAACAAACAGAAAGGAATAGCATCAACATCAACAAAAAGCACATGCACACCAAAACCTCATCGTAGGTCACCAACATCAAAGACCAAAGGTAGATAAAACCACAAAGATGGGGAGAAACCAGAGCAGAAAAGCTGAAAATTCCAAAAACCAGAGTGCCTATTCTCCTCCAAAGGACTGCAGCTCCTCGCCAGCAATGGAACAAAACTGGATGGAGAATGAGTTTGACAAATTAACAGAAGTAGACTTCAGAAGGTTGGTAATAAAAAACTTCACTGAGCTAAGGAGAATGTTCTAATCCATTGCAAAGAAGCTAAAAACCTTCAAAAAAGGTTAGACGAATGGCTAATTAGAATAAACAGTGTAGAGAAGTCCTTAAATGACCTCATGGAGTTCAAAACCACAGCACGAGAACTTCGTGACGCACGCACAAGCTTCAATAGCCGACTGGATCAAGTGGAAGAAAGGAAGGATATCAGTGATTGAAGATTAAATTAATGAAATAAAGCGAGAAGACAAAATTAGAGGAAAAAAAACTGAAAAGAAATGAACAAAGCCTCCAAGAAATATGGGACTATGTGAAAAGACCAAATCTATGTCTGATTAGTGTACTGTACCTGAAAGTGACTGGGAGAATGGATCCAAGTTAGAAAACACTCTTCAGGATATTATTGAGGAGAACTTCCCCAACCTAGCAAAGACGGCCAACATTCAAATTCAGGAAATACGGAGAACACCACAAAGATACTCCTCGAGAAGAGCAACCGCAAGACACATAATTGTCAGATTCACCAAAGTTGAAATGAAGAAAAAAATATTAAGGGCAGCCAGAGAGAAAGGTACGGTTACCCACAAAGGGAAGCCCATCAGACTAACAGTGGATCTCTTGGCAGAAACCCTACAAGCCAGAAGAGAGTGGGGGCCAATATTCAACATTCCTAAAGAAAAGAATTTTCAATCCAGAATTTCATATCCAGCCAAATTAAGATTCGTAAGTGAAGGAGAAATAAAATCCTTTATAGACAAGCAAATGCTGAGAGATTTTGTCAACACCAGGCCTGCCTTACAAGAGCTTCTAAAGGAAGCACTAAACATGGAAAGGAACAACTAGCACCAGACACTGCAAAAACATACCAAATTGTAAACACCATTGACGCTATGAAGAAACTGCATCAATTAACGGGCAAAATAACCAGCTAACGTCATAATGGCAGGATCAAATTTACACATAACAATATCAACCTTAAATGTAAATGGGCTAAATGCCCCAATTAAAAGACACAGATTGCCAAACTGGATAAAGAGTCAAGACCCATTGGTGTACTGTACTCAGGAGACCCATCTCATGTGCAAAGACACACACAGGCTCAAAATAAAGGGATAGAGGAAGATCTACCAAGCAAATGGAAAACAAAAAAAGGCAGGGGTTGCAATCCTAGTCTCTGATAAAATAGACTTTAAACCAACAAAGATCAAAAGAGACAAAGAAGGCCATTACATAATGGTAAAGGGATCAATTCAACAAGAAGAGCTAACTATCCTAAATAGGTATGCACCCAATACAAAAGCACCCAGATTCATAAAGCAAGTCCTTAGAGAGCTACAAAGAGACTTAGACTCCCACACAATAATAATGGGAGACTTTAACACCCCACTGTCAATATTAGATCAACGAGACAGAAGGTTAACAAGGATATCAAGGACTTGAACTCAGCTCTGGACCAACCAGACCTAATAGACATCAACAGAACTCTCCACCCCAAATCGACAGAATATATATTCTTCTCAGCATATCGTACTTATTCTAAAATTGACCATATAATGAGAAGTAAAACACTCCTCAGCAAATGCAAAAGAACAGAAAACACAAGAAACTGTCTCTCAGACCACAGTGCAATCAAATTAGAATTCAGGATTAAGAAACTCGCTCAAAACCACACAACTACATGGAAACTGAAAAACCTGCTCCTGAATGACTACTGGGTACATAACGAAATGAAGGCAGAAATAAAGATGTTCTTTGAAACCAATGAGAACACAGACATAATGTATCAGAATCTCTGGGACACACTTAAAACAGTGTGGAGAGGGAAATTTATAGCACTAAATGCCCACAAGAGAAAGCAGGAAGGATCTAAAATGGACACCCTAACATCACAATAAAAAGAACTAGAGAACCAGGAGCAAACACATTCAAGAGCTAGCACAAGGCAAGAAATAACTAAGATCAGAGCAGAAATGACAGAGATAGAGACACAAAATACCCTTCAAAAAAATCAATGAATCCAGGAGCTGGTTTTTTTTTTTTTGAAAGAATCTACAATATAAATAGACCGCTAGCAAAACCAATAAAGAAGAAATGAGGGAAGAATCAAATAGACGCAATAAAAAAATGCTAAAGGGGATATCACTACTGATCCCACAGAAATACAAATTACCATCAGACAATACTATAAACAATTCTATGCAAATAAACTAGAAAATCTAGAAGAAATGGATAAATTCCTGGACACATACATGCTCCCAAGACTAAAACAGGAAGAATTTGAATCTCTGAATAGACCAGTAACAGGTCCTGAAAATGAGGCAATAATTAATTGCTTACCAACCAAAAAAAGTCCAGGACGAGGTGGATTCACAGCTCAATTCTACCAGAGGTACAAAGAGGAGCTGGTACCATTCCTTCTGAAACAATTCCATTCAATAGAAAAAGAGGGAATCCTCTCTAACTCATTCCATGATGCTAGCATCATCCTGATACCAAAGCCTGGCAGAGATACAACAACAACAACAACAACAAAAAGAGAATTCTAGGCCAATATCCCTGACGAACATCAATGCGAAAATCCTCAATAAAATACTGGCAAACCGAACCCAGCAGCACATCAAAAAGCTTATCCACCATGATCAAGTTGGCTTCATCCTTGGGATGCAAGGCTGGTTCAATGTACACAAATCAATAAACCTAATCCATCACATAAACAGAAGCAACGACAAAAACCACATGATTATCTCAATAGATGCAGAAAAGGCCTTCGAGAAAATTCAACAGCGCTTCATGCTAAAAACTCTCAAAACACTAGGTATCAACAGAATGTATCTCAAAATATTAAGGGCTATTTATGACAAACCCACAGCCAATCTCATACGGAATAAGAAAAACTGGAAGCATTCCCTTTGAAAACTGGCACAAGACAGGGATGCCCTCTCTTACCACTCCTATTCAACACAGTGTTGGAAGTTTTGGCCAGGGCCGTCAGGCAAGAGAGAGAAATAAAGGGTATTCAATTAGGAAAAGAGAAAGTCAAATTGTCCTGTTGGCAGATGACATGATTGTATATTTAGAAAACCCCGGCCGGGCGCGGTGGCTCACGCCTGTAATCCCAGCACTTTGGGAGGCCGAGGTGGGCGGATCACGAGGTCAGGAGATCGAGACCATCCCGGCTAAAACGGTGAAACCCCGTCTCTACTAAAAATACAAAAAAATTAGCCGGGCGTAGTGGCGGGCGCCTGTAGTCCCAGCTACTTGGGAGGCTGAGGCAGGAGAATGGCGTGAACCTGGGAGGCGGAGCTTGCAGTGAGCCGAGATCCCGCCACTGCACTCCAGCCTGGGTGACAGAGCGAGACTCCGTCTCAAAAAAAAAAAAAAAAAAAAAAAAAGAAAACCCCAAAGTCTCAGTCCAAAATCTCCTTAAGCTGATAAGCAACTTCAGCAAAGTCTCAGGACACAAAATCAATGAGCAAAAATCAGGGGTGGGGTTCCAAGATGGCCAAATAGAAATGGCTCCAGTCTACAGCTCCCAGTGCGAGCGATGCAGAAGATGGGTGATTTCTGCATTTCCAACTGAGGTACTGGGTTCATCTCACTGGGGCTTGTTGGATAGTGGGTGCAGGACAGTGGGTGCAGCCCACTGAGTGTGAGCCAAAGCAGGGCAAGGCATTGCCTCACTTGGGAAATGCAAGGGGTCAGGGAATTCCCTTTCCTAGCCAAGGGAATCTGTGACAAACAGCACCTGGAAAATCGGGTCACTCCCACCCTAATACTGCACTTTTCCAATGGCCTTAGCAAATGGCACAACATGAGATTATATTCCGCACCTGGCTTGGAGGGTCCCACGCTCACGGAGCTTCACTCATTGCTAGCACAGCAGTCTGAGATCGAACTGCAAGGCGGCAGTGAGGCTGGCGGGGGAGGGGTGCCCGCCATTGCTGAGGCTTGAGTAGGTAACAAAGCCACCTGGAAGCTCAAACTAGGTGGAGTCCACCACAGCTCAAGGACTGCTTGCCTCTAGAATCCACCTCCGGGGGCAGGGCATAGCCAAACAAAAGGCAGCAGAAATCTCTGCAGACTTAAATGTCCCTGTCTGATAGCTTTGAAGACAGTAGCAGTTCTCCCAGCACGGAGTTTGAGAACTGAGAACGGACAGACTGCCTCCTCAAGTGGGTCCCTGATCCCCGAGTAGCCTAACTGGGAGGCAACCCCCAGTAAGGGCAGGCTGACACCTTACATAGCCAGGTACCCCTGAGATGAAGCTTCCAGAGGAACGATCAGGCAGCAACATTTGCTGTTCAGCAATATTCACTGTTCTGCAGCCTCTGCTGCTGATACCCAGGCAAACGGTCTGGAGTGGACCTCCAGCAAACTCCTACAGACCTGCAGCTGAGGGTCCTGACTGTTAGAAGGAAAACTAACAAACAGAAAGGACATCCACACCAAAAACCCATCTGTACGTCACCATCATCAAAGACCAAAGGTAGATAAAACCACAAAGATGGGGAAAAAAACAGAGCAGAAAAGCTGAAAATTCTAAAAATCAGAGCACCTCTCCCCCTCCAAAGGAATGCAGCTCCTCCCCAGCAATGGAACAAAGCTGGACAGAGAATGACTTTGATGAGTTGAGAGAAGAAGGCTTCAGATGATCAGAATTCTCCGAGCTAAAGGAGGAAGTTGGAACCCATCACAAAGAAGCTAAAAACCTTGACAAAAGATTAGACGAATGGCTAACTAGAATAGCCAATGCAGAGAAGTTCTTAAATGACCTGATGGAGCTGCAAACCATGGCATGAGAACTATGTGACGAATGCACAAGCTTCAGTAGCTGATTTGATCAACTGGAAGAAAGGGTATCAGTGACTGAAGATTAAATGAATGAAATGAAGCAAGAAGAGAATTTTAGAGAAAAAAGAGTAAAACGAAATGAACAAAGCCTCCAAGAAATATGGGACTATGTGAAAAGACCAAATCTACGTCTGATTGGTGTACCTGAAAGTGATGGGGAGAATGGAACCAAGTCAGAAAACACTCTGCAGGATATTATCCAGGAGAACTTCCTCAACCTAGCAAGGCAGGCCAACATTCAAATTCAGGAAATACAGAGACCACCACAAAGGTATTCTTCAAAAAGAGCAACTCAAAGACACATAATTGTCAGATTCACCAAAGTTGAAATGAAGGAAAAAATGTTAAGGGCAGCCAGAGAGAAAGGTCGGGTTACCCACAAAGGGAAGCTCATCACACTAACAGCTGATCTCTCGGCAGAAACTCTAAAAGCCAGAAGAGAGTGGGGGCCAATATTCAACATTCTTAAAGAAAAGAATTTTCAACCCAGAATTTCATATCCAGCCAAACTAAGATTCATAAGTGAAGGAGAAATAAAATCCTTTATAGACAAGCAAATGCTGAGAGATTTTGTCAACACCAGCCCTGCCCTACAAGAGCTCCTGAAGGAAGCACTAAACATGGAAAGGAACAACCGGTACCAGCCACTGTAAAAACATGCCAAATTGTAAAGACCACCAACGCTAGGAACAAACCGCATCAACTAACGAGCAAAATAACCAGCTAACATCATAATGACAGGACCAAATTCACACATAACAATATTAACCTTAAATGTAAATGGGCTAAATGCTCCAACTAAAAGACACAGACTGGCAAATTGGATAAAGAGTCAAGACCCAAGAGTGTGCTGTATTTAGGAGACCCATCTCACATGCAGAGACACACATAGGCTCAAAATAAAGGGATAGAGGAAGATTTATCAAGCAAATGGAAAACAAAAAAAAGGCAGGGGTTGCAACCCTAGTCTGTGATAAAACAGACTTTAAACCAACAAAGATCAAAAGAGACAAAGAAGGCCATTACATAATGGTAAAGGGATCAATTCAACAAGAAGAGCTAACTATCCTAAATACATATGCACACAATACAGGAGCAACCAGATTCATAAAGCAAGTCCTTAGAGACCTACAAAGAGACTTAGACTCCAAAACAATAATAATGGGAGACTTTAACACCCCACTGTCAACATTAGACAGATCAACAAGACAGAAAGTTAACCAGGATATCCAGGAATTGAACTCAGCTCTGCACCATGAGGACCTAATAGACATCTACAGAACTCTCCACCCCAAATCAACAGAATATACATTCTTCTCAGCACCACACCGCACTTAATCCAAAATTGACCACATAGTTGGAAGTAAAGCACTCCTTAGCAAATGTAAAAGAACAGAAATTACAAGGAACTGTCTCTCAGACCACAGTGCAATCAAATTGGAACTCAGGATTCAGAAACTCACTCAAAATCACTCAACTACATGGAAACTGAATAACCTGCTCCTGAATGACTACTGGGTACATAACGAAATGAAGGCAGAAATAAAGATGTTCTTTGAAACCAATGAGAACAAACATACAACATACCAGTATCTCAGGGACACATTTCAAGCAGTGTGTAGAGGGAAATTTATAGCACTAAATGCCCACAAGAGAAAGCAGGAAAGATCTAAAATTGACACCCTAACATCACAGTTAAAAGAACTAGAGAAGCAAGAACAAACACATTCAAAAGCTAGCAGAAAGCAAGAAATAACTAAGATCAGAGCAGAAATGAAGGAAATAGAGACACAAAAAACCCTTCAAAAAAAATCAATGAATCCAGGAGCTGGTTTTTTGAAAAGATCAACAAAATTGATAGACCGCTAGCAAGACTAATAAAGAGGAAAAGAGAGAAGAATCAAATAGACGCAATAAAAAGTTATAAAGGGGATATCACCACTGATCCCACAGAAATACAAACTACCATCAGACAATACTATAAACACCTCTATGCAAATAAACTAGAAAATCTAGAAGAAACGGATAAATTCCTCGACACATATACCCTCCCAAGACTAAACCAGGAAGAAGTTGCATTCCTGAATAGACCAATAACAGGCTCTGAAATTGAGGCAATAATTAATAGCCTACCAACCAAAAAAAGTCCAGGACCAGACGGATTCACAGCCAAATTCTACCAGAGGTACAAGGAGGAGCTGGTACCATTCCTTCTGAAACCATTCCAATCAATAGAAAAAGAGGGAATCCTCCCTAACTCATTTTATGAGGCCAGCATCATCCTGATACCAGAGCCTGTGAGACACAACAAAAAAGAGAATTTTAGACCAATATCCCTGATGAACATTGATGCAAAAATCCTCAATAAAATACTGGCAAACTGAATCCAGCAGCACATCAAAAAGCTTATCCACCATGATCAAGTGGGCTTCATCCCTGGGATGCAAGGCTGGTTCAACATACGCAAAGCAATAAATGTAATCCAGCATATAAACAGAACCAATGACAAAAACCACATGATTATCTCAATAGATGCAGAAAAGGCCTTTGACAAAATTCAACAGCTCTTCATGCTAAAAACTCAATAAATTCAGCATTGATGGAACGTATCTCAAAATAATGAGAGCTATTTATGACAAACCCACAGCCAATATCATTACTGAATGGACAAAAACTGGAAGCACTCCCTTTGAAAACCAGCACAACACAGGGATGCCCTCTCTCGCCACTTCTATTCAACATAGTATTGGAAGTTCTGGCCAGGGCAATCAGGAAGGAGAAAGAAATAAAGGGTATTCAATTAGGAAAAGAGGAAGTCAAATTGTCCCTGTTTGAAGATGACAAGATTGTATATTTAGAAAACACCATCGTCTCAGCCCAGAATCTCAAGCTGATAAGCAACTTCAGCAAAGTCTCAGGATACAAAATCAATGTCCAAAAATCACAAGCATTCTTATACACCAATAACAGATAAACAGAGAGCCAAATCATGAGTGAACGCCCATTCACAATTGCTTCAAAGAGAATAAAATAGCTAGGAATCCAACTTACAAGGGATGTGAAGGACCTCTTCAAGAACCACAAACCACTGCTCAACGAAATAAAAGAGGACACAAACAAATGGAAGAACATTCCATGCTCATCGATAGGAAGAATCAGTATCATGAAAATGGCCATACTGCCCAAGGTAATTTATAGATTCAATGCCAGCCCCATCAAGCTACCAATGACTTTCTTTACAGAATTGGAAAAAACTACTTTAAAGTTCGTATGGAAACAAAAAAGAGCCCCCATTGCCAAGTCAATCCTAAGCCAAAAAGCAAAGCTGGAGACATCATGCTACCTGACTTCAAACTATACTACAAGGCTACAGTAACCAAAACAGCATGGTACTGGTACCAAAACAGAGATATAGACCAATAGGACAGACCAGAGCCCTCAGAAATAATAACACACATCTTCAACCATCTGATCTTTGACAAACCTGACAAAAACAAGAAATGGGGATAGGATTCTCTATATAATAAATGGTGCTGGGAAAACTGGCTAGCCATATGTAGAAAGCTGAAACTGGATCCCTTCCTTACACCTTACATAAAAATTAATTCAAGATGGATTAAAGACTTAAATGATAGTCGTAAAACCATAAAAACCCTAGAAGGAAACCCAGGCAACACCATTCAGGACATAGGCATGGGCAAGGACTTCATGTCTAAAACACCAAAAGCAATGGCAACAAAAGACAAAATTGACAAATGGGATCTAATTAAACTAAAGAGCTTCTGCACAGCAAAAGAAACTACCATCGGAGTGAACAGGCAACCTACAGAATGGGAGAAAATGTTTGCAATCTACTCATCTGATAAAGGGCTAATATCCAGAATCTACAAAGTACTCAAGCAAATTTACAAGAAAAAAACAAACAACCCCATCAAAAAGTGGGCGAAGGATATGAACAGACACTTCTCAAAAGAAGACATTTATGCATCCAACAAACATATGAAAAAATGCTCATCATCACTGGCCGTCAAATGCAAATCAAAACCACAAGGAGATACCATCTCACACCAGTTAGAATGGCGATCCTTAAAAAGTCAGGAAACAACAGGTGCTGGAGAGGATGTGGAGAAATAGTTAACACTTCTACATTGTTGGTGGGACTGTAAACTAGTTCAACCATTGTGGAAGACAGCGTGGCGATTCCTCAAGGATCTAGAACTAGAAATACCATTTGACCCAGCCATCCCATTACTGGGTACATACCCGAACGATTATAAATCATGCTGCTATAAAGACAGATGCACACGTATGTTTATTGTGGCACTATTCACAATAGCAAAGACTTGGAACCAACCCAAATGTCCATCAATGATAGACTGAATTAAGAAAACGTGGCACATATACATCATGGAATGGTATGCAGCCATAAAAAAAGATGAGTTCATGTCCTTTGCAGGGACATGGATGAAGCTGGAAACCATCATTCTCAGCAAACTACCATAAGGAAAGAAAACCAAACATTGCATGTTCTCACTCTTAAGTGGGAGCTGAACAAGGAACACATGGACACATGGTGGGGAACATCACACCAGGGCCTGTCAGGGGGTGGGGGTCTGGGGGAGGGATAGCATTAGGAGATATGCCTAATGTAAATGACGAGTTGATGGGTGCAGCAAACCGACATGGCGCATGTATACCTATGTAAGAAAGCTGCATGTTGTGCATACCCTAGAACTTAAAGCATAATAAAAAAAATTTTTTTAAGTTAAAGAAAAAAAAAAAGTATGAGTTCTCTTTTCCCCACATCTATGTCAGCACGTATTGTTTTTTGACTTTTCCATAATGACCATTCTAGCTAAGTTGGTAAATCATTGTGGTTTTAATATGCATTTCCCTGAGTATTAGTGATGTTGAACATTTTCTTATATGCGTATTGGCCATTTGTATGCATATCTTCTTTTGAGAAATGTCCATGTCATTTGTCCACTTTTTAACGGAATTGTTTTTTCCTTGCTGATCTGAGTTCCTTGCAGACTCAGTATATTAGTCCTCTGTTAGATGCGTAGTTTGCAAATACTTTCTCCCATTCTGTAGGCTGTTTACTCTGTTGATTCTTTCTTTTGCTGTGCACAAGACTTTTACTTTAATTAGGTCCCACTTATGTATTTTTGTTGCATTTGGTTTGAGATCTTAGTCACAGATTCTTTGTCTAGGCCAATGTCCAGAAGGGTTTTTCCTAAGTGTTGTAGAATTTTTATAATTTCAGGTCTTAGATTAAAATCTTTAATCTATCTTAATTTTCGTATATAATGAGAGATATGAATGCAGTTTCATTATTCTACATTTGGATATCCAATTTTCTCAGCATCATTTTTTGAATAGGGTATCCTTTCCCCAGTTTATGTTTTTGTGTGCTTTGTTGACGATCAGTTGGTCTTAAGTATTTGGTTTTATTTCTGGGTTCTCTATTCTGTTCCATTGGTCTAAGTACCTACTTCTCTGTCAATACCATGCTGTTTTGGTTACTATAACCTTGTAATATAATTTGAAGTCAGGTAATATGATTCCTCTAGATTTGTTCATTTTGCTTAGGATTGCTTTGGATGTATTTCCATTTGTTTGTGTCATCTATGATTTCTTTCAGCAGTGTTCTGTAGTTCTCCTTGTAGAGATCTTTCTCGACCTTGGTTACGTATATTCTTTGGTATTTTATTTTTTGTAGCTATTGTAAAAGGGATTGAGTTCTTGATTTAATTCTCAGCTTGGTTGTTGTTGGTGTATAGCAGTGCTATTGATTTGTGTATACTGATTTTGTAACCTGAGAGTATACTGAATTCATTTATCAAATCTAGGAGTCTTTTGAAGGAGTCTCTAGGGTTTTCAAGGTATAAGATCATATGGTGGGCAAACAGATAGTTTGACTTCCTTCTTTCCAATTTGAATGCCCTTTTTTTCTCTTGCCTGATTGTTCTGGCTAAGACTTCTCTTTGCACACATCTTTGATTTCTTTCTTGGAATAAATGTCTACATGAAGAAATACCAGATAAAATACATGCTCATTTTAAAGGCTTTGATTATACTGCTAAATTTCCCTCAAGAAAGGCCCACCATGTATGAAAGACAGTACTAGGAATGGGGGTTACTTAAAACATTCATTGCTAAATCTCATTCATATATTTTCATTAAATTTATCCAACAAATATTTATTGAGCACTGACTTCGTATCAGGCAACATACTGAGCAATGAGACAAAATGATTCCCGCCTTCACAGAGTTCTTATTCAAATTTGAAGACGGTACTTCAAAAACTCTGCCAAACTTTCATTTGGAATAATGGTGGAATATTCTGCAAATATTAATTTGGAATTTTATAAAAGCGTATTAGCTGGAGGTATTTCAACAATTTCCCTCATTAAAAAAATCTTTCTGTCATGAATTTAAAATAAAATTATGTGAGGTTTCTTAATGACTTGTTTCTCCTGGAACATATAGTTTTTTCATACCCTGTTTCATCCAGGTTCTTATAGCTTTTGAAAAGCAAATTGCAGCTGTTTTTATCCATAATTATCACTAGCTGGACTTGCTTGTTTCCAACATCCTCATATTTTCATAATGATTGAGCACATAATGCAAGCAACTATTTCCAAGAAGATCAAAGTATGAATAGAAAGATGATGCTAATGACTGAATAACAGATATTTGAAATTTTTCTTGAAAAGTACCCAGTGAAAATTTTACAGGCTAAAATCCAACCTATGCAAAGATCAGATCTGACAACAGCAGCACAAATCTGTTAGTTGTACAATAACTTTCTTCTGTGATTCAGTCCATTTCCAAAACCAGCTAAAAGGATATCTACTTATGCTAGTATTCATAGTAGTAACTCTTCAAGAATAGTTGCCTAATTTAAAAACACTAGAAAATATGTTAAACATTCCACTTAAAAATCTTTTTCCCCCATTCTTGTTTGATATGCTTAAGAATCTTGATGCTTTAATTACAGACAAATTTCAAACCTACTTCTGAAAAGCCTAGTATTTCATTATATGCAGTTTTCCAGTAAGTTGGCAATATAATGATGATGAAGATAGCAGCTACAATTCATTGAACGTACAAAAATGCAAAGCATGTATTCTGCTGTAAATGCATTATCTTACCCACCAACATTTTAAGGAAAGACTTATCTCCATACACTATTAAAGATGAGAAAACAAATGACGTGGTGAAAAGCAAAAAACTATAGTGAAGGAAGAATGAGAGAAAAGAAAAGAAAAAAAGAAGAGAAAACAAAGGCTTAGAGAGGCTGTGTAATTTACCCAAGACCAGCTGGCCAGCCTCCAGAGGATTTGAGATCCTAACCTAAATAGTCTAACCTGAGTCCTCCATGCCACTCCACTTTTATGACTAAGCCGTGCTAGGCTCCTCTTAGACTGTAAAGTTGTCTCTTCAGAACTTGAAACACATGTTTATGCAAAATGCAACTGTGATTGGCTGGACTGCCAGTCTTGTCCATAAGACCCTATTAAGCCCATAATGTTCCTAAAAATATAGAGGATTATAGAACTTACATCTAATAACTCTTGTAACTGTGCTTTATTGAAAAAAATAAATGTAAATGGCAAGCCAGGATCACATCTTTCCTTGTTATAATTTTAGCAGGAATGGGGCCTCTGTGAACCCTAAACCAATGGTGGTAAGCTCTAGTGGCTGGTCAGGCAGGGCAAAAGACGAGGGATACAGACTTAAGAGTCTGGTAAAGAAGCAGTGAGATGACTGAAGAGGAACATGAAAAGAACTTAGAAAGAAGCTATGGGGAAGCAAAAAATAGAACTAGGAATTTGGAGTAGGACAGTAATAAGGCAGTTTTCCTTATCTTGTCCTTAAGCTTTCCATCTGAATAACTGTGTAATACTGTGATAGGGCCAGAGGGAGAGGATAGGAGGGAGGGGGGATGGGGGAGAGAGAGCAAATGCAAATTGAAGTTTTCTCTTCCTTTATGTATTCTGTATCTTACTATCTATCCCCTTCCAGTGGGCAGCTGCACTGCAAACCCCACAGCTAAACAGCATTATTTAATGAAAGAATGGAGGCTGGTGGAAGAGGACACTCTTGTGAGGCCTACATTGCTGAGACTAGATAGATCCTAAGCAGAGGCAAGAAGGATATACAGTCATAGCAGGATTCAATTTGGCGGCAACAGTGCGTAAGTCTGAGGATTGAGATTGTCTGTACTGGTCTTTAGCCATTTGATTAACGATACTTTAATGTCTCTATTAAGACCCAAAAGAGTTATGTCAACCATTTTTCCCTGTTTATTTCCTTCTATATATTTTTAATAATAATACGGTTTGTTTGGATTTATTATTAATATCTGGTAACATTATTTAACCATCTTGTAATATTGCATTTGATTGATTTTTCTTTCTTTATGCATTCTCTAACATTCCCACTGATCTATTCAATTGCTCTGGTCTTAATTTTATAAATAAGCAATAACTATGAAACTCTGTGTTGGCAATTTGAAAATAATATTTAGCAGCATATTTTCCAAGTACATACACAACACACAAATTCCATAAATTAGAAATAATTATGGCCCCAAATTACCATTTACATTTATTTTCTATTCAAGAACTCTCTCTCTGAAAGTATAATAATAAAAATATGAACGATACTTACCCTACTAGGCCTACATCAGCTATAAGTTTTAGATCAAGGTGAATTATTCGTTTCTGGCCTTTCAATGGTAAGAAATTTGTAAGTAATTTACCACCAAGACCTCCTTGAGCTACCAAAATTCTGTCATTTTCTTTATTGAGTTCTCCTTAAAAAGAGGGAGAGAAATACTTACAGCAAAGATTAATAAGTGAAATCACTAATGCAATATATTTCTTTCAGAAATACAGGCAAAGAAATGCAAAATTACAAATCTATAGATTAGTAAGTGAAATCATTAATGTAATATTTTACTTTCAAAAATACATGCCAGGAAATTCTCAATTACAAATCTATAATTAATAAGTAGAATCATTAATGTAATATTGTTCTTTCAGAAAAACAGTCCAGGAAATTCCAATTTACAAATCTATTAAAAGTTTGACCCCAGAAAAACACTTCAGTAAACAATTGAAAAGAGCCTAGTTATATATTTTAAGACCAAGTAAGAACTGTAACATCTTTAAAACAATCTTAAATCTAGCAGTCAATTTAACTTTTATAAGTTTTAAAAATGCTCTCTTATAGAATAGTAGCTAAAATTGTTAGTTAAAAAATCTTCTGAAACTCAAGAGAAGCTATTCCATTGTTTCATTTTAGAAAACGTGCACATTTTTACAACTTTTGGAGTTATAGTACACTCACCTATAATTTTACCATTTTCATCAGTTACTGAAATACCCACAGGCACAGGGATTTCACAGTCTTTTCCTTTGGAGCCTTTCAGTGCACTAATTCTACCAAAAAAAAAGTATATATATGTATGTATGTGTGTGTGTATATATACACACACACACATACACACAAAATGGTTTACAAAGAAGAGTAGCAATCAATTCTCTGGTTAACGCAGATGTTAAATGGTCAAACACGGGGTTTAAAAAAACTAAAATTATCCCTAATTATTTCTTTGCATTTTAGACTATTATATCCCACTAAAATGGCATTAAGTAATGATTTAAGTTACTAAGCTAACCACCAAAGGTCATTTTAACCCGAAACTAAAATATTGCAACCATGAAATGAAGAGATTATTGCTACAATACAAATAGGGTAGAAAAAGCCAGGCGTGGTGGCTCACGCCTGTAATCTCAGCACTTTGGGAGGCGGAGGCAGGAGGATCTCTTGAGTCCAGGAGTTCAAGACAAGCCTGAACACCATAGCACGACCCCATTTCTACAAAAAAAGAAAAATTTAAAAATTAGCTGGGCATGGTGGCACATACCCGTAGTCTCAGCTACTTGGGAGGCAGAGGTGGGAGGATCACTTCAGCCTGAAAGGTAGAGGCTGCAGTGAGCTATGATAGTGCCCACTACACTCAACCTAGGCAACAGAATGAGACTCTGTCTCAAAAAAAAAAGAAAAAATGAATCTATAAAAAAAAAAAGAAAATCCACCAAATAGCAAAGCTTTTAAAAAACTAACCTCAAATGAGAGTACTTACATTATAGAAGGCAAATCTGGCTACTCTTAAACTGCTCATAAAAGAAAAAATTAGTACAAATGTTTTAGTAATTCTACTTCTGGGAATTTATCAAAATAATAATTGAACAAACATGTAAAATAGTATCTACACAGAATGCTGCACTGTGGTTATAATCGGAAAAAAAAATCAACAATAACCTAAATAGACAAATGACAAAATAGTTATTTATTATGCAGGTATTCTGAATAATTTTGACATGTGAAAAAAAGTAAAAATAGCAGATTGTAAAATACTGTACTCTCATTTTTGTATTCTAAACTTTTAGGCACATAATTGCATTTGTGTAAACACACAGAAAAGTCTTAGAAAAGTCAAGAAAAGGTTAATAGTGGTTATCTTGCCTTCTAATGGTGGTGGGGTAGAGTAGCATGGTTAAGACTGAAAGTTTTCTAAAAGGTTGTCAAAGATAATTTTAGAAGAAAACAGTGGGAATTCAGATAATTATCGGTTTCTACAGGGGAAGTGCAAAAAGAATACAGATAGACATTGGGAAAAGAAACGGACAGAAAGTTTTAAAACTCTGAAATATTCTTTAGTATCAGTCTTTTATGAGTTGAGACATTTTAGGCTTTTGCTTGGTTATAAATACAGGAAATAATTTACTTCAAATTAACAATTAAGTTTTTATTTTGTAACTAAAAAAAAAATTTCCAGAAGGGTTTGATTTTCTAAAATTTAAGTCATTCAGTAATTACTTACTTGCTGTTTGCTCCTACTCCAGCCACAAACCGTTTCCGAGGATACCTGTCTTTAAGTTGTTTTAAAGTCATTCTGTTCTGGGCTACAACCCAGACATCACCACCTTTTCCACCTTCTCCACCTAAACGAGGATAACCCATTCCACCGGATCCTCCCCTGGTGAAGAGTCTTAGCTTATCGATGAAATTTCCATACTTAAAAAAAAAAGAGAAAGAATATTTGTATACCAAAAGTGTATCACCTTAGAACCTTTTTCTAGTTCTTTCTTCCACTAAAACTTCTTCTAAAAAAGTCGTTAATAGCTTTTCACATGCCAATTCTATAACATTTTCTTAGCTCACCTCCACATCTCCGATCTGACCCCCTTTCCCATTTGATTATCTCTCTTAAGTCCCTTTTAGTTTTTTCAGTTATCAATTATTGTCCCACCTATCCTGAGGGTTTCTGACTTGGCCCTGTTTTCATTCTAGACTTTCTCCCCTGGGTAATTTCTGCTTGTACCAATAACCATCACCTAGGTGAGATATTTTCTATGTCCAATCTGTCAGACATTTCCACCAGGATGAAAGCTTTTAATAGTATAAAGCAAATGTGAGCAGAATGTGTATTTAACTTATATTTGAAATTCCCCAATATGAAACTTGTTCTTACATATCAGTTGAATAATAGCCACCTCAAAAATAAATGTTAACATAACAAAACCAAACTCTTCCCCAGGTAAAATCTGTTCCTCCAATGTTCTCTAAAGTAACAGAACCATGGTTTACATATTCATTGAGACTACACAAATGGAAGTCTTTCAGACTACACCTGCTTCTTTTCCCAAAGCCCTACTCTCTTCTCTCCAGTACCACTGCCCTAGTACCTGCACCACATGAGCTCCTTTCAGTGTTTAGGCATTTTTTCCTTATTGCATTCTCCAACTTGTTGCCTGAACTATTTTTCTGAAATTGATCTGATCTCTAATCATGTTTCTCCTTTACTCAAAAACCATGCATTAAAAAAATGCTTATGAGCCAAGTGCAGTGGCTCATGCCTGTAATCCCAGCACTCTGGGAGGCCAAGGTGGGCGGATCACGAGTTCAGGAGATCGAGACCATCCTGGCTAACATGGAGAAACCCTGTCTCTACTAAAAATACAAAAAAACTAGCCAGGCGTGGTGGCGGGCGCCTGTAGTCCCAGCTACTCTGCAGGCTGAGGCAGGAGAATGGCATGAACCTGGGAGGCAGAGCTTGCAGTGGGCCGAGATCAAGCCACTGCACTCTAGCCTGGGCGACAGAGCGAGACTCCGTCTCAAAAAAAAAAATGCTTATGAAATAAAGTAAAAAATTCTTAGTACTACAGTTGACCCTTGAACAACACTGGTTTGAGCTGCGTGTGTCCACTTATATACAGATATTTTTCAATAAATATATTAGAAAAATTTTTTGAGCTTTGCAACAATTTGAAAAAACTTACAAAGCAAATAGATTGGAAATATTGAAAAAATTAAGAAAAGCTGTGTGTTATGAGTGCAAAAAATATATAGATGCTAATCTATTTTGTCATTTACTTCCATAAAATATACACATATCTATCTTAATTTTTAAAAACTAGAGATGGGGTTTTGCTATGTTGCCCAGGCTGGTCTCAAACTCCTGGCCACAAACAATCCTCTTGCCTTGGCCTCCCAAAGTGCTGGAATTACAGGCATGAGCTACTGCACCTGGCCACACATCTATTATAAAAACTTAAAATTTATCAAAACTTACACACACACTTACAGATCTTACATGGCAGCATTTGCAGTCAAGAGAAATGTAAGCAAATGTAAAAATGCAGTATTAAATCATAACTGCATAAAATTAACTGTAGTACATCGTGGAATACTGTAATAATTTCGTAGTTACCTCCTGTAACTATCCCGGGATCTCAAGTGTCCCAAGTTGCCACTTAAAAGGCCATGTGATGCTAATCGTCTCCCCATGAGCAGTTCATCTTGCCAGTACATTTTATAAGTCAGTAAAAAGTAATCTCTCACAGTTCTCTTGCATTTTTCATCATGTTCAGCGCTACACTGTAAACCTTGAACACCACCATGGAACCCATACAAAGTGCCACTAGTGATGCTGGCAGTGCTCCCAAGAAGTAAAGTCATGACACTACGATAAAAAGATGAATTGCTTGATATCTACCACAGATTAAAATCTGTAGCTGCGATGGCCTGCTATCTCAAGATAAATGAATCCAGAATAAGAATCAGTGTAAAAAAAGACAAAAATTCATGAAGCCACTGCAGCAGCTATGCCAAAAGGTGTGAAAACCTTGCACTTTTTGTGAATTAACTTTTTATCTTGTATTAAAAAGGCAACTTTTATGTAGATGCAGGATTCCTATTTTAAAAACATAGACTAATACAATAAAAGAAAAAGTAAGGTTACCATATGACAACTTAAAAGCAAAAGGAATGTGAAGGATCTAAAGCTAAAGAATTAATTGCCAGCAAAGGATGATTTGATAATTTTAGAAGGAGGTTTGACTGTGGAAGACAGTTCTAGATTCCTCAAGAATCTAGAACTAGAAATACCATTTGACCCAGCCATCCCATTACTGGATATATACCCAAAGGATTAAAAATCATGCCACTATAAAGACACATGCACACGTATGTTTATTGTGGCACTATTCACAACAGCAAAGACTTGGAACCAACCCAAATGTCCATCAATGATAGACTGGATTAAGAAAATGTGGCACATATACACGATGGAATACTATGCAGCCATAAAAAGGATGAGTGACATGGATGCAGCTGGAAACCATCATTCTGACCAAACTATCACAAGGACAGAAAACCAAACACCACATGTTCTCACTCATAGGTGGGAACTGAACAATGAGAACACTTGGGACACGGGGGGAACATCACACACTGGGACCTGTCATGGGGTTGGGGGCTGGGTGAGAGATAACATTAGGAGAAATACCCAATGTAAATGACAAGTTAATGGGTGCAGCAAACCAACATGGCACATGTATACCTATGTAACAAACCTGCACGCTGTGTACATGTACCCTAGAACTTAAAGTATAATTTAAAAAAAAAAAAGAAGAAATAGGTTTGGCTTTGGCTTTAGAAATATCAAGATAACAGGTGAAGCAGGTTCTGCCAACTAAGAGGCAGCAGATGAGTTCCCAGATGCCATTAAGAAAATCACTGAGACGAAAGAATATCTCCCAAATCAGGTTGTTAATGCTGATGAAAGTACCCTATTCTGGAAAACATGCTACAAAAGACATTAGTAAGGAAGAGAAGGGAGCACCAGGATTTAAGCCAGGAAGGGATAGGCTAACCCTACTGTATTGTGCAAATGCAGTTGTGTTTGTAATCAGGACTGTCCTTATCTATAAAGCTGCTAACCCCTCAATCTTGAAAGGGAAAGATAAACATCAGCTGCCAGTCTTTGTTGGATAAGAAGGCCTAGAGAACAAAAACCTTTTCTCTGGATTGGTTCCATGGATGCTTTCTCCCTGAAGTCAGGAAGTACCTTCCCAATACGAGACTGACTTGTAAAGTTCCTCTGCTAATGGACAGTGCCCCACCTCCCCGCTACCCAGAACCCCATGAGTTCAACATCAAAGGCACTGAAGTGGTGTCCTTGCCCCCAAACACAATGTCTGTAAATCAGCCTCTAGATCACGGGGTCGCAAGGACCTTTAAGGCTCATTAAACATGATTTTCTACGAAAAGGATTGTCAACCATGGAAAAGAACACTAATAGAGAAAACTTCAGGAAAATCTGAAGTTTACATAATTGAAGATGCCATTATTATTGAAAAAGCCATGAAAGCCATAAGCCCCAAACAGTAAGTTCGTGCTGGAGAAAACTTTGTCCAGGTGTTGTGTTGTGTTATAATTTCACAGGATTTACAAAAGAGCCAATCAAGGAAATCATGAAAGAGGCTGTGAATATGCCAAAAACGGCGGGAAAGTGGGTAAAGGACTTCAAGATATGGATCTTGAAGAAACTCAAGAGCTAACAGCCACCAAACCAGAGGAATTAACAGAAGACAGCTTGATGAGTGCTTCAGATCCAGTGCCAGATAACAAGGAAGAAAACACAGAATAAACTACCAGAAAAACGAACATTAGATAATCTGGCAGAAGAGCTCCTATTGTTCAGGACTGCTTTTGACTTCTTTTATGACATGGACCCTTCTGTGAAGAGGCACTGAAACCAAAGCAAATGGTGGAAGAGGTATTGGTACCCTATAGAAACATTTTTTTGGGGGAAAGAGAAAAGCAAAAGCATGACAGAAATTATGATGTACTTCCATAAAGTTACACATAGTGTGTCTGCCTCTCTTGCCTCCCCTTCCACCTCCTCCACCCCCACCCCTTCTGCCTCTGCCACCCAAGAGAGCAAGACCAACTCCTCCTCTTCCTCCTCAGTCTATTCAACATGAAGACTATAAGGATGAAGACCTTTACAATTCACTTCCATTTAATGAACAGTAAATATATTTTCCCTTCTTTCTGACTTTCTTAGTAACTGTTTCTTTTCTCTAGCTTAATTTAAGAATACAGTATATACTATATATATATTTTATATGTGTCAACTGACGGCTTATGTTATCAGTGAGGCTTCCAGCCAACAGATTATTAGTAGTTGTTTTGTGGGGGGAGTTGAAAGTTACATGAAGATTTTCAGCTGTGGCGGGGGCATCTCTAACCCCCATGTTCTTGAAGGGTCAACTGTATATCCAAAGCTACTAAAATACCCTTCTGGTATCTTTTATTTTCTTTTTTTTGAAACAGGGTCTGGTTCTGGTGCCTGGGCTCGAGTGCCGTGGCACTATCATAGCACTATCATTGCTGCAGCCTCAAACTCCTGGGCTCAAGCAATTCTCCCACTTCAGCCTCCCAAATGGCTGGGACTACAGGCACCACACCACCCCGACTGTTTTAAAGATGGGGTCTTGCTATGTTGCCCAGACTGGTCTTGAACTCCTGGCCTTAAGGGATCCTCCCACCTCAGCCTCCCAAGTAGCAAGAACAATAGGCTCACCTACCATGCCTAGTTCCTTCCTGTATCCTTTTCACTTGCTCAACCCTTCCTCTCTTCCTCTTTGCTCTGTACTACATGAAATACCGCCATTTCTACATGCCATTCTGCTCATGCTTTTCCTCTACTTAGAATGTCATTTGTTTTTCCTATCATAAATCCACCTAAACGTCATATTTTCTAACGTCTTTCCAAATTCCTCTAATCAATTCTCTGACTTTGCTGGCTCTCCCAGCAATTTGATTATATCTCTATTATTACACCTTTATAAATCTCACGCTGCATTTAGTGTTTACCTGTTTCCTTCACTAAATCAAGAACTTCTTGTAGGTAAAGGACTTACGTATTAACCTCTTAGGCTATTAAAATCAAAATAACTTAAGGAGTAATTTCTTAAATTCATAATCCACATCTCTAGTCATTTAGGATAGCTATTATAAAAAACAAATGGGATTTTTTTTTCAAGAAAGTTGAAATATTGACCATTCTGATATACTCGAGGAGAGTTTCTACAGTTCCATTAAATATGTAACACTTTTTTCCTGCTCTAGATTAATCAGATTCAGGGGTTTAGGAGCCTTACTTAAAAGGAGTATTTTACTCTGGTCGTTAGAAATAAAGTAATGGCCAAATATGACGCAGGCAACGTTTCAAAAAGCATTACTGATAGGATAAGATTTAAAAAATAAAAATTCAAAGCAGTTGTAAATTTTTACGGAAACGATTCTTAAGACCGACACCACACAAAAATCGACCTAAATGTTCTGCAGGAAGGCACATCAATTACACGCTTTCGTGTCTTCATAAAAATCCATTAGAAAAACCTTAAACAGCGCACTCAAGGAGAAATATATAAAAACAGGCTGTGGACATTAAAGGAAAAAAAACCACCACAACATTTGGGCCACAGCAGGCAGGTATCCCAGTTCCTCATACCACGTGCACACTATGTCTCTAAAGAACTTCAAACCCTGCCCCTGCCCCCAAACAACCGTCCAAACCACGCCAGGTACACACACCACTGTCACCGCTTACTGACAAAGCGCCACTACAGGAGGGGCGGAGAAGTCTATGGGAAAACCAAGCAAGGAAAAGGCCGCCACGAAGACAGTAGTGGAGAGACAGGGGAGCAAAGAAGAACCAGAGCTGTCAGCGCTAAGGGGACCAGGCTGAGGGGACCCGCACGGACCTTTCTGAACAACACGCAACTGCAATGCACCATGGCTGCAACAGGCCAGGAAACCTTCTTGCGGAAGCGGCACAAGCCGCAGTACAGCGCGGCCTTTTTACGTCATCCCCTGCCGCCGACGCGATTTCTCCTCCGCCCACACCTGCGGACTGGCGCATGCGTTGTGTGATGCTCTCGGGCGCCACCAGCCCCATGCGCTGTGCTTTGCACCCCACGGGTGGGGAGAGAAGGCGTTTTATCTATTAAAACACAGAGATAATCTCGAGAAGCCGTGGGACAAAGGACAGTAGGGCGTAGGTTGCGTGTCTCAGGAATTAACATTTTGAATGGAATGGAACTGAAGACTCAGCAGCCTTGGAGCAGCTTTTATGCTAATTGAGGAAACTAAGAATCTTCACCCTCAGCGTGAAAAAACCTCCAACGGACCATAAAACCAAACGTGTAAAAGACACAGAAACTCAACTGGGAAAAAAGAACCCCCAAAAGCCGTTAGTTCAGTGACGAGCTGAGTAGTCTCCAGCCAAAGCTTCCAGGAGACCATGAATTTAAAACTAGCGGCCGCACAAAGTTTTATTGAAAATAATGTCAGGATCTGAGATCTGTAAGAGGACTCTCCTGTGCAGTAAGAGAAAGAAGCTTGTTTACAACTGTCAGAAAGTAGCTTCTTGGAGTCGGGAAGACGGGTTTTTATCCGTCATTTGAAGCGTGCCTTTGTGAGAATTAAGACACGATGTGAAAAATCCCTCTCTCTCTTGATTACTTTTCAGGACCAGAAGAGAGTAGCTCTCCCCAACCCCTCATGCAGCGAAAAAATGTATGCAGCTGAAGTAAACGGCCCTGCACAGCGTTGCCAGCCGTATAACTCTTAACAACCCAAACTAATAAATCCTAGAAACCTTTCATACTTTGATACGATATGGCTCTGTGTCGCCACCCAAATCTCATCTTCATTTGTAATCCCCATTGTGGAAGTAGGGAAGTGATTGGATCATGCAGGGCTGTTTCTCTCCTGCCGCTCTCCTGATAGGGAGTTCCCACAAGAGCTGACGGTTTTATAAGTGTTTGGAAGTTCCTCCTTCTTTCTTCTCTCTCCTGCTTGCCATGTGAAGAAGGTGCTTGTTTCCGCTTCCCCTTTTGCCATGATTATAAGTTTTCTAAGGCCTCCCCAGCCATGTAGAACTGTGAATCAATTAAGCCTCTTTCCTTTATAAATTACCCAGTCTGCGCAGTTCTTTATGGCACTGTGAAAACTGACTAATACCTCAATGTGACAGTGTCTTCTACTCCTCACTTAGGACAGTGATTATTTGGAAAGACATGATGTGAAAACCCCGTCTTGATTACTTTGCTGCTACTGGACCTTCTGCTTACAACCACCAATCAGAAAAGCTGTAGTTGTCATTTAACCTGCAGTAGTTGTATTTTCCCTCTGTGGATTACTTTAATGTTGAATATTAACACCAGCAACAGATGTTGATTACTATCAGTGTTCCTACCTCTCATTAATATGAACATTAGGTTGTTGCTGTGTAGATGTTTTTAATTTAATGACATTTGCTGCCATTAAGATTACTATCTTACTAGGTTTTCCTATTGTGTCAGAATAGTGTTGAGCCCAATGTACTTATTTTCCAATGCCTATTTCTTGTTAGTGAACACAATCTCAAATACTTTTCTTTCACATAACATATACATGGGGAAATGATCACAGCAACTAAAAAAAAAAAAATGGGAGATTGATATAGAAATATCTCAAAATGATGAGGATCATTGTGTACTGTAAACAAAAAAGAAAGCATAATATTTACCTCTGACAAAATGTGGTCAGGGCCTGAAGTATTTATTATAACTCTCATTACCAGATAGTAAAAGAAACATTGTGTAACTGGAAACTGTCCCCTTTAAAATGTGCAGCTAAAATGAACATGAGGCAAAATGTTTAGGACACTATTCAGACCTAAGGCAGAAGTCATTGTTGGAAAATACTACTACTTCTGCCATGAAGAGGAAAGAATGCCTCCTTAGGGTTGCTCAGTTTGATGTATGGGCAAACCATTAAAGTCAGTGGCACTAAAGAGTCTTGAATAAAGTCCCAAATAAGCCATCGACATGACTCACAATTTGGTTTTAAAAATATTTTAAAACAGGCCAGGCGCAGTGGCTCACGCCTGTAATCCCAGCATTTTGGGAGGCCGAGGCGGGTGGATCACGAGGTCAGGAGATGGAGACCATCCTGGCTAACACGGTGAAACCTCGTCTCTACTAAAAATACAAAAAATTAGCCGGGCGTGATAGTGGGCGCCTGTAGTCCCAGCTACTCAGGAGGCTGAGGCAGGAGAATGGCGTGAACCTGGGAGGCGGAGCTTGCAGTGAGCCGAGATAGCGCCACTACACTTCAGCCTGGGCGACAGAGAGAGACTCTGTCTCAAAAAAAAAAAAAAAAAAAACAAAACAAAACCATATATATACACACATACATATATACATACATATACATATATACATATATACATATATACACATATATACATATATATGCATATATACACATATATACATATATACATATATACACATATATACATATATACATATATACACATATATACATATATACATATATACACACACACACACAATAATGAGGGTTATGAAAAAATTTAATATAGAGTTGTTCTAATTACAATTTTAAATAATTTTATTTTGAAGTACTTTTTAATTTACAGAAGTTACAAAAATAGCCAAAAGAGATTCCATGTAATCTTTATCCAGTTTGCCCGAATGTTAACATCTTTTATAACCATTTTTCAAAACTAAAAAAATTAATATTGCTAGAATATTAACTAAACTACAGACTATTTGCTTTCACTGGTTTTTCACCTATGACTTTACTCCAGGGTCTAATACTAACACCACATTGCATTTAATCTAACATTTAATGTAGATACACTTAAGCATAAAATAGACAAATATATAATTAACAAATCTAATATTTTGTGATGTTATATTGCTTAATTTTGTCAGCAGACTAAAATGAAAAGTGTCTAACTTCATTCTGGGCTTTGCAGATTATTTCAATTGATCTTGTGTCATCATCTCAACTGCTTTTAATTAGATTTCTACCTTTTGTCTATCATGCTTTTAGTTCTGCTTGTTCAAGAGTCCCTAACAAGGTCCGTCTGGCTCAGGCCTTGTAATCAGTAGATACTCTAGGAATATTTGTTAATTTATTCAAACGAAAGACAAGAACTAGATTGCTAACTCCTATAGCATACGAATCACCTGAAGTGGAGCATCGAGTTATTCTTACTCATTAGCCTTATAATCCTTCAGATGTAACAAATCAAATATTATTTGTTTCATGCCGTCAAAATATTACAAGTCTGAGAACCATTATATCTCCCAAATGATGAAGTTAAATGGATCAAACAAATGAGGTTTACATACTAGGTAAGACCTCTTTGAGTAAAAATGAAGTATTCTCAAAGAGAGGGCCTCAGGCCATGTAATTATTGTCTTCAAACAAGGCCTATGTGAGGGAAAAAAAGTGGATTTATCTCATTGCCTTTCTTCCTAGGAACTTACACTTCAACTATTCATTCATTTATTCATGCATTAATATAATAATTTCTGTGTTCTGAATTTGTCCCACATACTCAGCTATGTGCTGGAACACTGTCATGGGTACTGAAATAACTAAGCAAGAATAAGCAGAGTAGTTGTGTCAATGACAGAAAGAAGTAAATTTTAATCTTTCTGATACCTGTATTCATAATGAGTGGAGGAAATTTATTCCTATGGAACATGATTTTACTTCGCTGTTAAGGCACTTTGCTTTTAATTTGAAGGATATAATGTAAAGGTTACTTTTTAGGAAGCATTTCTAGAAATCTTGAGAATTAGAATCATTTTTTTAAGACCCCCATTTAAGACCACCTGTACTAGAGGAATAAAACTATTTTAAGGGTCTTCTACTATCCTATTAGTCATCGGTTAGTCTCATTTTTTATACTTTATTTCAATCATTGATAGATGTAAGAATGGCAGTGGAATTATCAGAAGAGACTTTCATGATAATGCTTCCTGTTTGTTCAAACAAGAGGACTTATGAGCAGAAAAGTTCGTAATGTATTCAGGATTCTCACTTACTGATCTCATTTTCTTTGCTTCTTGTTACTGAGATTTCATAAAGCAATAACCACTGACAGTAAATTAAAATTCTTAGATAATATGAATAAGAAACAAAAATAAGAGGCCAGGCATAGTGGCTCACAGCTGTAATCCCAGCACTTTGGGAGGCCAAGGCAGGTTGGTCTCTTGAGTCCAGGAGTTTGAGACCAGCCTGGTGACATGGCAAAACCCTGTCTCTACAAAAAACACAACAAATTAGCTGGGCATGATGGCACACACTTGTAGTCTAAGCTGCCTGTGAGGCTGTGGTGGGAAGATCACCTGAGCCCAGGAGGTTGAGGCTGCAGTAAGCCATGATGATGCCAATGCACTCCAGTCTGGGTGACAGAGTGAGACTGTCTTTAAATAAATAAATAAATAAAATAATGAAATCAGTGCTTATATTAGCGTGTTCATGTGTTATTTTAAGTATTTATTACTACCACATCATAAATTAATCAGAATATTCCCCTTCAAAGGAGATATTGTAAGAATATGTTAGTCATTGTCCTATGCATGTATTATAGACTATCACTCTATACATGGTAAGCTACAGCATTGGGCAGAATAGTAATTGAGCACAATTGTTCCCATTGTATATTCCACATACAACACATAACAGAGTATACTCTGAGAAGGTATAGAACATATACTTATTGGAAGACATGGTTGTATAAGTAAAAATGAAGTTTAATGAGAACTCATTTTATGCGAGTTACACAGAACATAAAAATACAGATTTTTAAAACATTTTTAAAGCATCATAAGCACTTAAAAGAGTCATAATTTTTTTAAATTAGGTCTGTAATAATTATATTTGGCCTTTAACTTTATTTTTTTTCATTCAATCTAGTTCTTGCAACAGCACCGAATTCCTCATTTGGTTACTGTGGAGCTTCCAGAAATTTTGGTATTCATTTCTTATATCTATTTCCTCATTTCCCATGTATTCATCAACCCATTAGAACTTTGCTTCTGTTCTTATTTCAGTAAAATTATACTTACTGGGCCGTTTCCTCAGGCCATATCTTATTTGACTGGGAAATGTCTACTAGTGAGGCAATTGGAGTTATGGGGTATGCCCTAAATGCTAACAAAGGAGAAAAAATGAACATATCAAAAGATAGTATAATCCCTGTAACTTTTGATTTTATGTAAATTTTAATTCTTGGTAAGAAAAAATATATACCAAAACCTCAGTATGTAACAAATGTTGGGGGGAAAAAAGCCACCAAGCATATATTCCTATACATATGCTTATACCTAAGCATCACCTCCCGATCACCACCGAGGTCTAAGAAAAATCTTAATAAGGTTTCTGATGAACAAAGGAGAGGCTAAGTCCTTATTTAGAGAGAGTAAAGAACAAGTTGTTTACTCTAGGAAGCCTGATAGGATGGAGTTGGTAGAAGGTTTATGTGAAGGTGATTTTTATATTACTTTTACATTGAAGAAGCCCTAAGCATAAATCCTAATACAACTTTTTTTTTTGTTCTCTCATTATGTCTTAAATCTTTTCAGTGGTGGAAGCTTTTACCCATCATTAAATTTGAGTTCCAAGATTTTCAGCTCACATTTAGATAATGAGCAGTCCTAAAGACCTCTTAAGGCCCAAAACACTTCCTAGATTCAGAAATTAGAGTGTTGGTTTCTGTATAATATTTGAAATTCTCAATTTAAAGTTATGTCTTTTCTTTTCTTCAGCTAGTGCTGATTTTAGGTGCCAGCTTGCCATAGCTTCAGGGCACTCTAGATTTGGAGCATTGGAGGGAAGAAGAGAAAGGTAATATGGAAATGCTTACTTTAACTTGTCTTTGGTGGGCCAGATTTGAGTTCCTGGAACTGGCAGATATTTAGGGTAACTCTCTCATAGTGCTTTTGTGGGCACTTGAGTCTCATCAGTGAAGTCTCTCACTTCTGGTTCCCTAGTGGATGGGTCTCTATTTGAGTGATGGCTTTAGAATCTCTCCACCCTTACTACCTCCAGCAATCTGGCATACACCTAGATTTCATCCTTGTGAATGGGGCCCCCTTGATTTCTTTCAGCAGCACTATTGGACTGAATCCAAGGTGAACTCACCCTCATATGCAATCCACCTCCAAGTCGTGGGAAACACTCATGTAGATTTTACTTGGGCAAATTTAGGAGCGCGGGCCAATCACAAAGGAAACTCTCCTCTTTTACCACCAAAGTGGTTGGTGGGCCAATTTCTCCATCTCTTGATTTCCCTGGACACGAATCAGAATGCAGTTATTATGCCCTACCGCTTCAGGAATAACATAATAAGCAGTATCAGTACACTTGGTGGAGGCCCCAGCCCATCCAAATGAGCATGAAGAAAGAGATCAGGCACCCTCTCTTCCATTCTCATTGGGAGTGGAAAACGTAAGAGGTCTAAGAATTTTGTGATTATTTCCTTTAAAAATTTGAGTTTGTGTCTGGCACCTTACTTGGTATAAAGCATCTGCTTCATCTCGATCTGTTAGCTAGAACTTGTAATTCAGTATCCTGAGATATTTCCTTTTAGGGGAAATATGAAATTACAGGCTGAAATTGAATGTGACACATTATTTTCTATTCTTTCTTGCTTCTCAGCATGATCTGAAACTCTTGTCATTTCTCTTTTTAGCTAATAATTTAGTATAGGTGAGCTGGAGAAGATGTTAGTATGAATTCTTTTTCTCTTTATAACTTTTCTATTATAATAACTGATATTTATTCCTACCTCTTCTATACTTTTTTCTTCCAAAATGTAAAGGAAATAATAATCCTTCAAGTAAATGTCTGAGGACTGATCCTGGACTATGAGAACTGCTCTCTTGTGTGCCATTAATTTCAAATTTGAACTTCTCTTTACTTACTGTGTAAATCCTCTCCCTGACAAGACTGATTACATCTTTATTAAGGAGTTCATCTCTCATTTGAAAATGTTTTTCATCTTAGAAAAAAATATTACTGTTGTCAATCTTGCCATGTAAGATTTGACAGAAAATTCTTTCATAGATGAAATGTAGTTTTATCTTTTAACAAAGAAAAAATGTGTTTTATTAGCTGATGAACATTTTTTTGTTATTTTTTAAAATTTTATGTTCTGTATTTACTTGTCACTGACTTGAAGCTCAACTCTTTTGTTAAAAGAAAGTGACATTAAAACAATGTATGGAAATTAACTTACAGTTCACACAGCAGAAAAACCAATAATTACATCAATTTTATATTCCTTCCTTCTAAGATATTAAAGTGTTGCAACAAGAAAGCAAACAAAGATTACTTAGAGAATATTACTATGAGGTAAATATAAAAGGCTATAGCAGAATTAGGACATAAAATTGAGTAATCTTGCCCATTTTATTTACAAAGTCACACAGGAGTTACCACTGAGTCAAAGCCATCAGCCCAGCATTTTATTAAAAACAGTAGCCCCCCACCAAAAAATGAAAATTGCCATGCTAGTGCTAGTCATGATGTCTGAGAATTTCAGGTGGAGTTGTTAAGTGGTCAGAACCAGAAAATTGAGTTTATTGAATTATTTTGTCCTGTTACATTCTGTAGGTCTTAAATACCTGAAACCTCACTTCATATCTTTTTAAATAGGTCCATGGTGGCGTCAGGGTTAATCATTCTCTTTTTTATCATGGTATGTTTGGTAAAGATCAGGACTGTGGGCCGGGCACGGTGGCTTATGGCTGTAATCCCAGCACTTTAGGAGGCCGAGGCGGGCGGATCACGAGGTCAGGAGATCGAGACCATCCTGGCTAACACACAGTGAAACCCCGTCTCTGCTAAAAATACAAAAAATTAGCCGGGCGTGGTGGCAGGCATCTGGAAGTCCCAGCTACTGGGGAGGCTAACGCAGGAGAATGGCGTGAACCCGGGAGGCGGAGCTTGCAGTGAGCCGAGATCACGCCACTGGACTCCAGCTGGGGGGACAGCGAGACTCCGTCTCAAAAAAAAAAAAAAAAAAAAAAAACAAAATAAAGATCAGGACTGTGGCAATTTTGTACTGTTCCAATTCAGCTGCAGCTGTGCTCCCCAGAATTTCCTTCCTGTATTAGTCCATTCTCACATTGCTGTAAGGAACTACCTGAGGCTGGGTAAGTTATGAACAAAAGAGATTTAATTGACTCATAGTTCCATAGGCTGTGTAGAAAGCATGGCTACGGAGGTCTCAGGAAACTTAATCATGGTGGAAGGTAAAGGTAAGGAGGGAAATCTTCACATGGTGGAGCAGGAGAGAGAGCCAGCAAAGGAGGAAGTGCTACACACCTTAATCAACCAGATCTCATGAGAACTCACTCACTATTCCAAGAACGGTAAGGGGCCGGGCGCGCGCGCAGTGGCTCACGCCTGTAATCCCAGCACTTTGGGAGGCCGAGGCGGGTGGATCACGAGGTCAGGAGATCGAGACCATCCCGGCTAACACGGTGAAATCCCGTCTCTACTGAAAGACAAAAAAAAAAAAAAAAAAAAAACAAATTAGCCGGGCATGGTGGTGGGTGCCTGTAGTCCCAGCTACTCGAGAGGCTGAGGCAGGAGAATGGCATGAACTCAGGAAGCGGAGCTTACAGTGAGCCGAGATCACGTCACTGCACTCCAGCCTGGGCGAGAGAGCGAGACTGCATCTCAAAAACAAAACAAAACAAAACAAAACAAGAACAGTAAGGGAGAAGTCTGCTCCTATGATCCGGTCATCTCCCATGAAGCCCCTCCTTCAGCACTGAGGATTATAATTCAATATGAGGTTTACTTGGGGACACAGAGCCAAACCATATTATTCTGCCCCTAGCCCCTTCCAAATCGCATTCTGCCCCCGGCCCCTCCCAAATCTCATGTCCTTCTCACATTTTGGAACACAATCATGCCTTCCCAACAGTCCCCCAAAGTCTTATTCTCTCATTAACTCAGAAGTCCAAGTCTAAAGTCTCATCTGAGACAAGGCAAGTCTCTTCCACCTATGAACCTGTAAAATACAAAAGAAGTTAGTTACTACCAGGATACAATGGGGGTTTGCGACAAGCCTGAGCAACAAAGCAAACCCTGTTTCTACAAAAAATTAAAAATAATGAGTCAGGTGTAGTGGTGCACGCCTGTAGTCCCAGCTACTTGGGAGTCTATGGCAGGAGGATTGCTTGAGCCCAGGAGTTTTGAGGCTACAGTGAGCTCTGATTATGCCACTGCAGTCCCACCTGGCAACAGGGTAAACCCTGTCTTAAAAAAATAAAAAGAAGCTCAGCAAACCCCAAGAAGTTGGATAAATACAAAGAAAACCACACTGTTGTAAAGAATTTGACCTCTGTCCCTGGGAGATGACCTCTAAATCCTTGGAATTTTTTGGGGTGATAGAATTATCTTTTATCCTTGATGGGCCCTTGGGATCACACTTGAGTTTATGCAAATGAGATGACTCAGGCTGGGGGCTGACCATATCAGAATGACCAACTATGTTATTGCATGTGATATAAGCTGTACCTCTTGGTAGGGTGGTGGGTGGTGGGTGGTGGGTGGTGGGGAGGGCTGGGGATTCAGTTCAATCATGTGACCAATGATTCTGAAACTGATGCAACAGACCACTAGATGGTTTTTTTGGATAAATATAGAAATTGACCCTTATGGTCTTAAAGCTTGAAACTTACCTATCTTTTATGTGAGTTCCTCAGGAAAGGACCCCCAGGCCTCTCAAAAAGTATCAAAGAGGCCAGGGACAGTAGCTCTCACATGTAACCCCAGCACTTTAGGAGGCCAAGGTAGGGCAGATTGCTAGAGCCCAGGAGTTTGACACCAGCCTGGGCAACGTGGTGAAACCTCATCTCTATAAAAACTACAAAAATTAGCTGGGCATGGTATCATGCACCGATAGTCCTAGCTACTCGGGAGGCTGAAGTGGGAGGATTGCTTGAGTCCAGGAGGGTGAGGCTGCAGTGAGTGGTGATTGTGCCACTGCACTGTAGCCTGGGCAACAGAGTGAGACCTTGTCTCAAAAATAAATAAATAAATAAAGTATGAAAGAACTGAAACTCACCAGACAATGAGAGTTCAAGCCCTCATTCATCACGATTGGTTTCTTACCCCACCTGAGTTCCTGCTTTTCCACACGTAATTATGTTTCTTTCCTGCTAAATAAACCCCTAATTTTAGTTGGTCGGGGAGATGGATTTGAGACTGATCTCCTATCTCCTTGACTGCAGGACCCCATTAAAGTCTTCTTCCTTGGCAATAATGATTGTCTTAGTGACTGGCTTTCTGTGCAGCAAGCAGCAGGACCTGGACCAAACCCCTGATATTTCAAGTTACAGTTCAATCAATCATGCCTATATAACAAAACTCCAAGCTGGGTGTGGTGGCTCACACCTGTAACCCCAGCACTTCGGGAGGCCGAGGTGGGTGGATCGCCTGAGATCAGGAGTTCAAGACCAGCCTGACCAACATGGTGAAACCCCTTATCTACTAAAAATACAAAAATTAGCTGGGCATGGTGGTGCGTGCCTGTAATCCCAGCTACCTGGGAGGCTGAGGTAGGAGAATCGCTAGAACCCAGGAGGCAGATGCTGCAGTGAGCCAAGATCATGCCACTGCACTCCAGCCTGGGTAACAGAGTGAGACCCTGTGTCAAAAAAAAAAAAAAGAAAGAAAGAAAGAAAAGAAAAAAACCGCCAGTAAACATTCTGGCACCAAGGCACAGGTGAGCTTCTGTAACTGGCAATTATATATTAATGATTCAAAAAAGTAATGCTCTTAGGACACAGAAGCTTTTGTGTTTGGAACCTTCCCAGACTGCATTCTGTGGATCTCTTCATTTTCTGGTCCTGATCTATATCCTTTATAATAAAACTATAAGTATAAATACTTTCCTGAGTTCTGCAAGTCATTTCTAGCAAATTACAGAATCTGATGGGGCAATGGGAATGCCTGAATTTGTAGCCAGTCAGTCAGAAGAACAAGGACCTAGCAATCCCGGGCTTGCAACTAGTTTCTGAAGGTGTTACTGGTGGAAGATATTGTGTCCGGAATTGGTGGGTTCTTGGTCTCACTGACTTCAACAATGAAGCCTTGGACCCTCGTGGTGAGTGTTACAGTTCTTAAAGGCAGCGTGTTCAGAGTTTGTTCCTTCTGATGTTCAGATGTGTTCAGAGTTTCTTCCTTCTGGTGGGTTCGTGGTCTTGCTGGCCTCAGGAGTGAAGCTGCAAACCTCCACGGTGAGCATTAGAACTCCTAAGGCAGCAGGTCTGGAGTTGTTCATTCCTCCCAGTGGGTTTGTGGTCTTGCTGGCTTCAGCAGTGAAGCTACAGACCTTCGTGATCAGTGTTACTGCTCATAAAGGCAGTATGAACCCAAAGAATGAGCAGTAGCAAGAGCTTTTGCAAAGAGCAAAAGAACAAAACTTCCACAGCAAGGAAGAGAACCTGAGCCTATTGCCCCTGCTGGCTGGGGAAGCCTGCTTTTATTCTCTTATCTGGCCCCACCCACATCCTGCTGATTGGTTCATTTTACAGAGAGCTGATTGGTCTGTTTTACAGAGACCTGATTGGTCTGTTTTGACAGGGTGCTGATTGGTGCATTTACAATCCCTGAGCTAGACACAAAAGTTCTCCATGTCCTCACTAGATTAGCTAGATACAGAGTGCTGATTGGTGTATTTACAAACCTTGAGCTAGACACAGAGTGCTGATCGGTGTATTTACAATCCGTTAGCTAGACATAAAGGTTCTCCAAGTCCCCAGTAGACTCAGGGGCCCAGCTGGCTTCACCCAGTGGATCCCGCACTAGGGTCCCAGCGGGAGCCGCCTGCCAGTCCTGCCCCGTGTGCCCGCACTTCTCAGCCCTTGGGCGGTTGATGGGACTGGGCACCGTGGAGCAGGGGGCGGCGCTGGTCGGGAGGCTCGGTCTGCGCAGGAGCCCACAGGTGGGGGGGAGGGTGCCCAGGCTGCAGGTCCCGAGCCCTGCCCCGTGGGGAGGCGGCTAAGGCCCGGCGAGAAATCGAGTGTAGCGCCACAGGGCCGGCACTGGTGGGGGACCCCGCGCACCCTCCGCAGCTGCTGGCCCGGATCCTAATTACCCTCACTGCCCCGGGCCTGCGGGGCCGGCTGGCTGCTCCGAGTGCGGGCCCGCCAAGCCCACGCCCACCCAGAACTCTAGCTGGCCAGCAAGCGCGGCGCGCAGCCCCGGTTCCCGCCCGTGCCTCTCCCTCCACACCTCCCCGCAGGCTGAGGGAGCTGCCTCCGGCCTCGCCCATCCCAGGAAGGGGCTCCCACAGTGCGGCGGGGGGCTGAAGGGCTCCTCAAGCACGGCCAGAGTGGGTGCCGAGGCCGAGGAGGCGCCAAGAACCAGCGAGGGCTGCAAGGGCTGCCAGCATGCTGTCACCTCTCAGTATCTGAGTTACCAGCGATGAATCTGTACAGGTCTGCAGCAACATCAGTTCTTGCCTCCTCAGAATAAAGAATTTGATGGAGGGGCATAAAGCAGAAAAAAAAGAGACTTAGGCAAGTTTCAGAGCAGGAGTGGAAGTTTATTAAGAAGGCATTAGAACAGGAAAGAAAGGAAAGTACACTTGGAAGAGATCCAATCAGGCAACTTGAAGAACAAGTGCAGTGCTTTACCTTGATCCTAGGACTTTATAGGCTGGCCCCTTTCCCATGATTCTTCCCTTAGAGTGGGCTGCCTGCATGTGCAGTGCACTCCTTGTGCTTGGGAAGTGAGCGTGCGTGGTGTGTTTAGTTGTACACATGCCCATCTGAGGCTTTTTTCCCTTTTCTGGTGCTGTGCCCTTGGAAGGTCATACTCTGCCATTTTGTGTCTTAATGTGCATGCTCAGTAAGTTCCTTCTCTCTGGCATCTATATTCAGTGGACACTTCAGTGCAGTAGCTGTGGATCATCAGGAAATGGCCTCTCCCTTGCACTGGCTACCAATTTGTCACTTTTAGAGAGTCAATGTGATAATTGCTGAACCATCACCTGACATTCCTAGTGGCTGGGGGAGAGCCCTCACGTGCCCCACTCATGCCTAACTACCTATAACAAAATAAGGGAGCTCTTATGGAAGACTGTACCCTTAACTTGTGAAATTTGACCTCACTCTAGGTAATGTCAGAATTGCATTGCACACACCTGGCACATTGTCAGCAAGTTGCAGAAAACTAAAGATATTTTGAAAGCTGTCAGAGAAAAATGACACATTACATATAAGGGAATTGTGATTTGAATGATTGATGTCTTCTCATCAGAAAAATAATGGAGACCAGAAGACAGTGGAACAACATCTTTAAAGAATAAAACAAAACTCAAAACTACATTAAATTCTATATCCAGTGAAAATAATTCTAAAAGAATGATGGTGAAGTAAAATACATTTCCAGATAAAGAAAACTAAAAGTATATGTAGCCAGTGAACACGTACTATAAGAAATACCAAAGAAGTTCTTCAGGTTGAAGAGAAATACAACCAGATGGAAAATCAGGTCTTCAGCGGCAAAAAATAAAGAGCACTGAAAATGATAACATTGCATCATAGGATTTATAACGTAATGCATTTGACAACTATAGCAAAAAGGATGAAAAGGTGAGTAAATGAACTCATACCTTGCAAGATTTCTACATTTTAAATGAATTGATTCAATATTAACTCTAAGTAGTCTGAAATATTAAGGATATATATTGCAATGCTTAGAACAACCACTAAAAAATTATGCAAAAAAGGAAAACGAGGATCCTAAAATACACAATGTTTATATGCCTTTGTGTTTGTCTTTATGTCCTAAGATAAATTTGTATTTCTTGTTCTTAAACAATAACAAAATATTTTCTACTAATCATCCCTTTTGGAAGAGGTAAGGACTAGTGATCTCTTTTTCACTTCCCTCCTGAACTATTTTTTTCCTGTCTCTGAGACAGTCTTTTGTTCATCTTTGTCTCCTGTGTTCCTGAAAAAAGAATGCCTTCTTTCTCTTCAATTAGTCAGCTGTCAACAAGTGCTTGTTTTCTCTGAAGGGTACTTACTTGTTTCAACTTCATTTCCTGCTTTCTTTCTCCCCAAGGTGATTGAATCGCACTTTGATAAATACATTGTTATTAAAGTTTACTAGAGGCAATTGCAATTGTAGATGTTTCAAATTAATGTCTTTCATTATACTGAGTCAAAAAGTTAATGAATTGAAAAATTATTCTTTTTGTAGGTATTCAGCAGCATTACTCAGTCAACATGTCCTGACGGTGTGTGGAGTGACCTTCTAGATTTTGTGGGGAGTGATGATGGCAATATTTCCTGGAGAAGCACGCTCAATAAAGGAGAAATGGGATTAACACAACTGTGACAAAACTGCACTAAGTGATTGGAAAGTAGGAAGCATGTGGGCAAATGAATAGGCTACTGGCCTGATTAAACCAGGAAATCTCAAGCAGCACTGGAGTTCTGAAAGAATTAAGGGGTGTGGCTGGTGGAAAGCTGACAAAACTCCCTCAGAGGGGGCAATAGCATGGATATGAAATAGAAATCAGCTAAAAATATTTATTGTGTCCATTGTACTATATACCAGTCATTAAAAACATGTGAAATAGAGACATTTTTATAAGCTTGTAGGAGAACATTATATGCTTTCATGGAAGAAAGACAACGTATTATAGTCATTCAAAAATGGATGTCAAGTAATATAGTGAATATAGATACCCAATTGCAGAGGTAAAGCTCAGTTGTGTAGAAAGAGCTTTAGAGTTGGGTCAGGTGAAAGAGATAAAGGGAGAAATGCTCTATGATATGACTTATAGATGAAGTCTGGGGATAACAGAAATATTCTAGGAACGGGATGATGGTGAATATATTGCTGCTCGTGAAGACAATTCTAATAAAAAAATGCGTGGCTTGGAAAACATACTTGCTTAGTTAGATGGCTTGTTTGGGCTATGATGATAAATTAGGTGGATTCGTTAGGTAATACACTTGACTTTATAAATAACCAACTGTAAAATCTAAACATTTACATAAATTTATCATGACTGTCTTAACATGTGTTGTGTGCTTCTGAGTTTTCCGCTTCTCTTCCATTTTGCCAAATGAAAAATCTGTCTCAAATCCAATTCTCCTACCGCTCTCTAAAGTGTTTGACCCTACAGCAGTCTTCTGGTTCTTCAACTATGTCCTCTCTTTGGTTCTATGACATTATATCACCCTGGAGCTTACATAGGCTGATTATTCTTTCCTGTCTTCCTTCATTGATTCCATTTGCAGTTTATGAGCCCCGAAATTTGGGCATAGGTCCCCATATTCATCTCAACTTTCTTTTATCAATGTATACTGTCATGGTGGCACTAATTCACTAATTTTCTTTTTTCTTTTCTTTTCTTTCTCTTTTTTTTTTTTTTTTTTTTTTTTTTTTTTGAGACAGGGTCGCACTCTTGTTGCCCAGGCTGGAGTGCAGTGGCACAATCTCAGCTCACTGCAACCTCTGCCTCCCAGGTTCAAGCAATTCTCGTGCCTCAGACTCCTGAGTAGATGGGATTACGGGTGCACACCATCACGCACGGGTAATTTTTGTATTTTTAGTAGAGACGGGGTTTCACCATGTTAGCCAGGCTGGTCTCGACCTGCGGCACTAATTTTCTGTCAAAACAGAGACCTCTCAAACTAGTTATATTTCTAGATAAATTTTAGATATTCCAGAAGATCCAGAATCAACTCTAATACAACACATCCTAAATCAAATTCATTCTCCCCTAATCATCTTCCTTTCGATCTTTCATATTTGTCAATGACACTCCATAAGCAGGTATGCTGAAAGCACTCGTTCTTTTTTGTTCTCGCTCCATCTCATATCAATGCGATAAATCACCATGTTTTATCTTTCTTTTTTTTTTTTTTTTTTTTTTTTTTGAGACAGAGTCTCGCTCTGTCTCCATGCTGGAGTGTAGTGGCGCAATCTGGGCTCACTGCAACCCCCGCCTCCCGGTTCAAGCGATTCTCCTGCCTCAGCCTCCTGAGTAGCTGGGACTACAGGCGTGCACCCACCATGCCCAGCTAATTTTTGTATTTTTAGTAGAGACGGGATTTCACCTTGTTGGCCAGGATGGTCTTGATCTCTTGACCTTGTGATCCATCTGCCTCGGCCTCCCAAAGTGCTGGGATTACAGGTGTGAGCCACCGCACCCGACCTATGTTTTATCTTTCTATCTTTGAAATATGTCATTTCTGTCATTGTTCTAAATGTTTTATTATGCATTATTTGATAATAGAAAAATATATATTCTAACAGATATATCCTATACATGTTATATATATTCTAAATATTCTAACATATATAGTTAGAAACCATAGGCGTAAGAAGACTAGTGAAATCACTGTCTGTAAAGACACTCTATAAATTCTTTCCAGATCTTGTTTCCTCATATATCTAAACATAACCACTCTCCTGAATTTGTGTGAATTACTTCCTTACTATTAAAACTGCTTTATCAAATGTATGTATTTGTAAAGAAAGAATATATGGTTTAATTTTGCTTGTCTTTGAACTTCATAAAAATGATATATTCAGCAATCCATTTTTTAAAATCTGTAACTCATATAGCTGTAGTCTATTCCTTTTCACTGTCAAATAACAACTTGCAATGTTGGATATACCACAGTTAATTTATCTATTATGTTAGTGATCATTTTGATTTTTTCCATGTTTTTGCTTTTGTGAACAATGCTACCATGAATATTCCGTTTTAGGGTATGTTTCTTGTCACCTATTTGCAAGAATTTCTTCAAGATATATTCCTGGGATTGAAAAACTTATTGCAAGTTACATACTTGTTCAGACTTAGAAGATGGTGCCAGTTTGTGTTCTAGACTGATTGTACCAATTTATGCTCCTCCTAGCACTATGCAAGAGTCCTACTGCCTCATGTGATGGTTAGTTATATGTAACAACTTGACTGGCCATGGGGTACCCAGATATTTGTTTAAATATTATTTCTGGGTGTGTCTGTGAGTGTGTTGCTGGATGATACTAGCATTTGAATTGGCAGGCTGAATAAAGCAGATTGCCCTCCCCATCAGCCAATTCATTGTATAGGCATCATCCAGTTCACTCAAGGCGTGAATAGAACAAAAAGGTGGAGGAAGGGAGAATTTACTGATTCTTCCTGACTGATTGAGCTGAGACATTAGTCTTCTGCTCTCACACTAGAACTTAACACCATTGGCTCTCCGGGTTCTCAAGCTTTTAGGCCTAGACTTGAACTTACACTGTCAGCTTTCCTCGTTTTAAGGCCTTTGGACTCAGGCTGGAACTATACCACTGACTTTCCTAAGTCTCTAGCTTGCAGATGGCAGATTGTGGGGCTTCTCAGCCTCCATAATCACATGAACCAATTTTTTATAATACATCTCTTCATATATATATATATATATATATATATATATCTTTATATAAAATATAATATATACATATGTTAGCTAGATCCTATTGGTTCTGTTTCTTTGGAGAACCCTGACTAACATTCTTCATATGTTCACCAACACTTGACACTTGATATTTTTTAAGTCGGAGTCTCACGTCACCCAGGCTGGAGTGCAGTGGTGGGATCATAGCTCACTGGAACCTCAAACTCTTGAGCTCAAGTGATCTGCCCACCTCAGCCTCCCAAGTAGCTGGAACTACAGGCACATGGCACCATACTCAACCCAGTTAAAAAAAATTGTGGAGTAGGGGCCTTTCCAAGGATAGTCTTGAACTCCTAGCCTCAAGTGATCTTCCTGCCTTTGTGTCCCAAAGCACTAGGATTACGGGCATAAGCCACCACACCCAGTCTCCAACACTTGATATTGTCAGACTTCTTAATGTTTGACCTGATGGGTACAAGTGCACATCTCATGGCCCCACTATGTTGCCCAGGTTGTTCTTGAACTCCTGGGCTCATATAATCCTCTTGCCTTAGCCTCCCCAAATGTTGGGATTACAGGCATGAGTCACTGAATCTGGCCTTCTTTAGGAGAATTTTAGCTATCTTAGGCCTTTGCTTTACCATATAACCCCCTAGAGTCACATTTTCATTAACCCTATTGCACTTTCCTGCCTGCAATTAAATAATGAATATGTGTGTGTATTTATTCATTATTTATGTTTCCTAATCTATGAAATGCCTCTTTATGCCTATTGCCCAGATTTCTATTATTGTGTTTATCTTTTTCTTGATTCGATGGAAGTGTCTTCTATCTTGGCTCTTAATCCTAATTCATTTGTGATTATAAGTGCTGAATATATCTTCTCTCAGAATATAATTATTTTTTATCTTTATAGTGTCTCGTGATTAACAGGACATTAATTTTAATGCAGTCAAATGTATTAATTATCCTTTTATGGTCAGCACTATTTGTGTCTGGTGTAAGAAGTCCTTCTCAACCCCAAGATCAGAAAGATATTCTTCTGATGTTCTTTTTAAAGTACAAATGCTTTGCTTTTCATATTTAAATTAATAATATACCTGGGATTGATTTTTATGATGGTATAACGTAGGAATCTAATTTCGTTTTCCATATGGGTAACCAGTTTTCCCAGCTTTATTTATTGAAAATCCACTGTTCTAATGAGAACATTTGGACACAGGGTGGGGAACATCACACACCAGGGCCTGTCGTGGGGTGGGGGGAGGGGAGAGGGATAGCATTAGGAGATATACCTAATGTAAATGACGAGTTAATGGGTGCAGCACACCAACATGGCACATGTATACATATGTAACAAACCTGCACACGTACCTTAGAACTTAAAGTATAATTAAAAAAAAAAAGAAAATCCCATGTTGTTTTACACATTTCTATAAATGGATAGGTTTATTTTTAGGGTCTGTAATCTGGTCCATTGTTTAATTTCTTTATTCCTGAGCCAATAACCTCCCGTTTAATAACTAGTGAGTACCCTGCTCCTTACTGTTCTTCTTCAGGATAATTTTTTTTTTTTTTTGAGACAGGGTTTCACTCTGTTGCCCAGGCTGGCATGCAGTGGTATGATCATGGCTCACTGTAGCCTCAACCTCCCTGACTCAAGTGATCCTCCCACCTCAGCCTCTCAAGTAGCTGGGACTACAGGCATACACCACCATGCCTGGCTAATTTTTAAAATTTTTTGTAGCAACTAAGTCCTACTATGTTGCCCAGGTTGGTCTGGAACTCCTGGGCTCAAGCAATCCTCTTGCTTTGGCCTCCTCACATGCTGGGATTACAGGCATAAGCCACTGTGCCTGGCCTTCTTTAGGAGAATTTTGGCTGTCTTGAGCCTTTGCTTTACCATGTAACTTTTAGCATCACATTTTCATTAACCCTGTTGTGATTTTGATTGAAAATGCATATATTACTTTGGGCAGATGATATCTTTATAGATCATATATTAGCATTATTTTTATTTAGATTGTCTTTTATGTCTTTCAATAAAAATTTTAAAAATCTCCACTTAGAATTCATTTACCTATGTTAAATTTATTCCTAGTTACCTTATACATCTTACTGCTATTGTAAATGGCATCTCTTTTCTAATTTATATGTTCTGGTCTTTTGCTCGTATATAGTTGATGCAGTAGATTTTGTAGATTGATCTTATATTCAACCACTTAACAAAACTTGTTAATTTGTCAGTATAATTTATGTTATTATTATTTCTAAGCAAATGATTCCACATAGCATGCTGTGCTAGGCACTATTCAGAACACTAAATATTTATCACAACAGCCCTTTTAAGCAGGGTCATTTTTCATCTCCATTTTACTCACAAGGAAATTAACCACAAAGAGATTAAATCATTAGCTCAAAGCCACAAATTACCATCTGAACACAGAAGGGAGGACTTAAACCCAGGCAGTTGATTTCTAAGCTCCATGCTCACCAAGAGCTTTGCTGCCTCTCTGCTAGGCTATCCAGTTGTGATCCTTCCCTTTCCTTCCCTGCCCTGCCCGGCCCTCCCCTCCCCTCCCCTCCCTTTCCCTCCCCTCCCCTCCCCTTCATTCCCCTCCCCTCCTTTCCCTTCCTTCCCTCTCTCTTTCTCTTTTTCTCTCTTTCTTTTCCTTATACCACTCCCCACTTTTTTCTAACCCTTTCTTTGCAGGTATTATTTTAAATGTTAGCAGAGATGATGCACATCTTTTCTCGCTCCTAAATTAAAAGAGAATTATTTTAGTATTTTACCATAAGAAAGATGTTTGCTGTAGGGTTCTAGTGGATAACATTTATGAGGTTAAGAAAATTTTGTCTAGTCTTAGTTTGCTAAGAGTTGTTTTTGCTTTTTAATCATGAATGGGTGTTGAATTTTATCAATTTATTTTCTTTTAATTTAAAAAAAATTTTTTTTGAGACAGAGTCTCACTCTGTCACCTAGGCTAGAGTGCAATGGCGTGATCTTAGCTCACTGCAACCTCTACCTTCTGGACTCAAGTGATTCTCCCTCTTCAGCCTCTCAAGTAGCTGGGACTATAGGCGTGTGCCACTGTGCCTGGCTAATTTTTGTATTTTTTTGTAGAGACAGGTTTTTGCCATGTTGCCCAGGCTGGTCTCGAACTCGTGAACTCAAGCAATTTGCCCTCCTTGGCCTCCCAAAGTGCTAGGATTACAGGCATGAGCCACCGTGCCCAGCCTCCCATTTAATTTGTGTACATGGTAAATATAGTCATTGATTTTAATATGTTAAACCAATAGTCCCTAACCTTTTTGGCACTGGGGACCAGTTTTGTGGAGGACAAGTTTTCCACAGATGGGGTGGGTGGGGAGGGCAGGGAGGGATGTTTTGGGATGAAACTTTTTCACTTCAGATCATCAGGCGTTAGATTCTCATAAGGAGCAGCAACCTATATCCCTTGCATGTGCAGTTCACACTAAGGTTCACGCTCCTATGAGAATAATGCTGCTGCTGATCTGACAGGAGGCAAAGCTCAGGTGATAATGCTTGCTGGCCCACAGCTCACCTTCTGCTGTACGGCTGGGTCCTTAACAGACCACAGACTGGTACCAATCTACGGCCTGGGCCCCCCTGTGTTAAACTACCCGTGCATCCCTAGGATAATCCAAGCTTGATACTGCTGGGTTTTTTCTAAGTCCTACTGAATTTGGTATGTCAATATTTTGTTTAGAATTTATTTTTATCTGTAATCATTAGTAAGATGGCCTGTGACTTTACTCTTTTTCAGATCGTCCTTGTCTCATTTTGTTAGAATGAGTCTGGGAGATTTCCTTCTTTTCTAATTTTCAGGAAGTACTTGATCCTTGAAAGTTGCCCTGCAAAATCATATGGGCTTGATTTTTTTTTTCCCAGTGGGAAGATTTTAAACTACTTATTCAAGGTCTTTAAACAGCATTTACTATTCTGGCTTTGTAGTTATTCTTACATGACTGTTATAGATTTTTTTCTTTTTTCTTTTTATTTTCCATAGTCTTTCTTTGTCGCCCAGGCTAGAGTGCAGTGGTGCGATCTCGGCTCACTGCAGCCTCCGTCTCCTGGTTTCCACCGATTCTCCTGCCGCAGCCTTCTGGGCAGTTGGGATTACAGGCACGCGCCACCATGCCTGGCTAATTTTTGTATTTTTAGTAGAGATGGGTTTTCGCCATGTTCACCAGGCTGGTCTCGAACTTTGGACCTCAGGTGATCCACCTGCCTCAGCCTCCCAAAGTGCTAGGATTATAGGCGTGAGCCACTGCGCCTGGCCAAGTTTTATAGATATTTTTTCTAGGAATTTATTAATTTAATTTAAAATTTCAAATATATGGTATATGTTGGTTGTTAGTATTCGTGTATCTAGTTTTAATCTTTATTTGCTATCTATAGATATATATCATTTTCTACCTTTCATTTTCTTTCTTGATCAGCCTCATCAGAGGTTGCTTTATTTTATTCAAAGAATCAACTCTTTTTGCCTTAGTTCACTAATGTGTGTTTTTGTAAAATCTCTTAACTTTTGAGAGCCTTTTTTCTGCTATTTTACCAGCTGTTAAATTTGGTTGCATTTATCACTCTATCAGATTTTCAGCCTCTCTTCTTTTGGCACAAGTGTTTAAAGCTGTTAATTTCCTTTAAAGGATCCTCTTACTGGCTTCTCACAAGTTTTGATATGCAATGTTTTTTAATCACACAGTTTGAAATATTTTATAATTTCCATTGTATTTTATTTTAAAATCGATTGTTTAAAGTTATTGCATAAATAAGTACATTTATTGTTTAAATTTCAAAACATGAAAAACTACGTTCTTGTTTTTATATTTCTTAAAACACTTTTTAGACTTTTAAACTTTCTGTGTTGTGGTCAGGCAACGAAGTTTGAGTGATACTAGTTTTTGAAATTTGTTGAGACTTGCTTTAAATTTCATGAGACTTTATTTTTTCTTTTATTTTATTATTATTATACTTTAAGTTTTAGGGTACATGTGCACAACATGCAGGTTTGTTACATATGTATACATGTGCCATGTTGGTGTGCTGCACCCGAGACTTGCTTTATTTTCTAATGGGAGGAATGTGTTCTTTAACTGCAAGTTTCATGGTTCCTTATAACTTGACGGTTCAAATCATCTACACATTTAGTATTATTTATCATCTTAACCTAAAGGCTTGTGGAACTCTCCCACTATGATAGTGAGTTTGTGAAAATTTCCCTCTACTTCTGTCAGTTTTTGTTTTATGTATTCTGTAGCTTCGTTATTAGGTATATCTAAATTTAGAATATTTTTATCTTCTTCCTGAATTGAGTCTTTTATCATTATGTAGTGTTCCCCTTTCTCCTTCATCGTGCTTTTTTGTATTAATAAAGCTGTCAGTTTAAAATACAATTAACATGTGCATGGTATATTTGTTTCCATTCTTTTCAAGTTTCTCTGTCCTCATTTTGGGTGTGTGTATCTTTTGTAAAAGCACATAGCAGAATTTAAAATCCAACCACATCTTCCTTCCTTTAATCAAGAAGTTCAGACTATTATTATGATTGTTGACTTGAATCTTATAAATTTACTTTCTACTTGTCACTTTTGCTGTGCTTTTTTCTCTCTTCTTGCTTTCTCAATTAATTTTTTATTTGTCAATCTGTTTTTCTCCCTGGTTCAAGAGTTTTGTTCTCTATTTCCGTCATTTAGGAATTGCCTGAGAAATTTTACCATACATATTTAACAACTTTGCAAAGTCTAAATTCAATATCTATATCTCACTTTTTACTGTAGATACCAGTTTTAATAAAGCCTAAACTTACTATCTACATCTCACTTTCCTCTCTTCCTTCTCTCTTTCTCTTCTTTCTTCTTTTCCATATTCTGATTCTTTATGCTTTGCCTCCATCCGCCTTTTCCCTGGAGATTTCACTTTCTTGATCACCCAATGATGATTTAAAAATTATGTTTGTCATCATTTTGCCAGATTCTATTTGAATGTAGCAAGTAGACCCTTCAGAAAAATCACTCACATAAAGAATATCTTCTCTCACTGACTTGGGGGTAGACACCAAGAGTAAAATTTCTAGATCACTTTCAGATTAAACAGATAATGCCAGTTTTCTTCCTTGGTGATTATACCAGCTGATAGTCTCATCAAAAGCATATGAAGTGTTCATTTTCTCAAAAAATTGCTGAGATTGTATTTTACCAAATTAATTTTTGTTAAGCTTCATTTGGGGAAGACAATATATCATTTCCTTGAAATGGCTTTGTTATTAAGTCTATCTAAATTTAGAATATTTCAGTATTTTTTCTCATGTTTACTGAATATTAAGGTCTACTCTTCTGTCAATTACCCTTATTTTTCTATTATTGATTTATATAAGTTCTCTATTCAGAATACCATTCCTGTGTGTGTGTTATAATAATCATACCCAAATATGTACTCCTATTTAGTACATTACTCTAATTCTAATATTAGAATATTCTTTAAAAATGCATTTTAATGACAACTATTACCTGTCTCCTTACATTTTTCTGTATTTTACAACTTTTCAATAGGTTTTGAATACTTGTAAACAGATAAAAATGTTTTATGAAAAATAAAGTATATCTTTCAAAAAAGACGGACAGGAACTATGTGGTTACTCAACAGAGAAATTGAGCCAATTCATTTTAGAAGGAAGCCAACATTAACCCAAAGATGGAAGGGGTTGCTTCCTTTGGGGGTGGGGACATGTGCCCAAGGTTAAGTCACATTGGAAAACAGCTTTGGTGGGTGGACAAATTCCTTGGGAGGGTGGTTTGTTCACGTTTCAGCTGGGATGTTGGATTAGGTCACTCTGCATCTCTGCTAATTGTGAGAGTCCATGATTAATGGTGGACTGAAACACTTGGAAGTCTACAGCAGAAGAATATCTGGTGTGAGATGGATTCGTGTATATCCTACCTAATCCGAGTAAACAAGTCTTCCCCTTTTCTCAGTTCTGTTTTGTGCAGGAGGTGGTCCTGCAGATAGAAGGGGCATAAAAAGGCATTGCCAGGGCAGAACTAATGATTGACTACGTTAGCTCCACCAACAGGATGAGAACAGGGTGGAGCTTTGAATAATGGTGGGTGCTGGGAGAAGTGAGCTTTAGCAGGGACAATGACTGGGGAACTGGGCTGTTTGGTTTGGCACTCATCTCACCCCATGATCTCACCATCCCAGCTCAAGAACCTGTGAGAAGGGTGGCCTGCCTGAGGGGAAATGGGGATAAGGCAGCTGGCTTTGATTTCCCTAGCCCCATCTGATCATCGCTGCTGGGCTATAGGCAGAGCAGGTAGACTTAAACTCATATATAGTCCAAGTGATGTGTTGGGGCTGAGATTGATGGACAACATACATATGTGAAATTCAAGGTACTTGCTCGGGTCTTCATCCATGAAGGGATAAAGGAAACATTTCCCCCAGTGTAGAAGCAAGGGTATGTTTGCGCGTGTGTATGTGTTAGCGTTAATAATAAACTGTGTTTAGCTAGAGATTAGAACCGTTCAAGGAGGTTTAGCATTTTAAGAGAGTTCACAGCCTTAAGAGAATTTTTCTCTGGATAGGAGAATACGGTGTGGAGCATGGGTGGGCGGAGGGAGAAGATAACTTGGGTATGTGGACTGACTAATGCCGAGATGGATCTTCTCAGCTAAGAAAAAAGAAGGAACAAAGTAAGAAGGAGAGAGCGAAGAAGACCCTGAGCCTTTGGCATAGCAAGAAAGTCGGAGGAGGGCAGGAGAGGCGAGAGCAGCGGCCAAAGCAGGGCCGCAGGGCGCAGAGGCCCCCGAGGTCTGGAGGCTGGGAAGTTGGGCGAGGTCAGGGAGGGGCCTCGAGAGCGCGGCCACCCACGATCTGCCCCCTCACTCAGCCTCTAGAAAAGGATCGCGGTCCCAGCGGCGGGTCTGTCTCGGGAACCCCGCGTGGCCGCAGCAGAACCGGCAGCTCCACCCGCGGTGAGCCAGTGCCAGCCAGAGCCTCCCAGCGCCGAAGCGCACCGCGGCCGAGACGGTTCCGCTGAGCGAGCTTGGGCGCCCGGTGAGCGCTCGGGGTGGGTGACACAGCGCTGCCTCGCCCAGTTCGCCTGCCTCGGGAAGTGGGTCCGCTGGGCAGAGGGCGCCCTGGGCAGGGGTCGTCCCCGCTGAAACCTCTGGTTCCTCGTGGGCAGGAGGCGCCCCGTCCTCCTCCCAACGAGCGTAGCGCACCCAGGACACCGCGCCGGGACGCGCTCCTCGGACGGCGACCAGAGGTCCTCGACTCCCGCGTGGCCTCCCTCTTCTGCGCCCAGGTGACCTGACCCAGGGCTGGGGGCACAGGGAGAGGCGCTAGCCTGAAATTGAGGGGGAAGAAATTCCCTCTGATACATCATGTATCATAAACTGCCAGCTTTCAGCTCAGTCTGGGGAATTTGCACAATTTTCGACGATGTGAAATGACTTGAATGTCCTGTTTAGATTTGATTCGTATGATTTCTCTCTTCAGCCCAACTTTTTTAGGGAGGTGGCAGACGGCTGTGTACGGGGGGAAAGGTGAGTCCTGTGTTCTGGATCTGTTCTCCTCTCCCTATCCCTCCCCGTTGGCTGTCAATGTTGTAAAAGGGACATTTCCAACAGCAGCCTTGAATAGCAGGTGTGTGGCAATTCAATGCCAACTTAGTCTTTAACTTCCTCTTATGTGCTTTGGGCCGATTTTACCCAACAATCAGTTGGCAAGGAGGCATGCAAAGAGGCATTAGAAAAATGTCAAGATTTTGCTGAATGTAATGGGCCCTGCACTATCTCATCCTACCTTATATCACCTTTGTTTTCGTGCCACTTCATGTATGTCTACGTTCATCTTCTCCAACCAGCTCCTAAACAGAGGGAAGCCAAGAATACACCGGATATTAGTGCGTAACAAGTATTTTTCAATACATGAAAATGGAAATAGCAGTAACTTTGAGACTTAAACGGTGTTTGTGAGATCTAGTACCATTTGGGTTAATAATATCTCAATTAACAACAACAAAATACTTCCTATGTTACATGTAGAAAGGACTGTATTTTGATCCACTTAGTTGAAATGTGTTGTGGTAGGTAGGAGTCTTGGATAGGCAGTCAGGAGTCTGAAGACTTGCGGAACCGTATCACTAATGATCTAATCAGTAAAGGGAGAAGGTTGGAGCATAAGCTCTTTAGGGTTTCTGCCACTTTTAAAGGTCTGTGATGAAATGAACCTTTGCATTTTCATAAATGTGTTGCATTTCAAAGACTCTTGATCAGAACGTTGGAAATCAAACCGGAACTGTAATATCCTAAAGGAAGATGTGATAATCAGTAATTTAGAAAAAATGAATACCTAGTAAGCAGATTTGGCTTGATCAAAAGCAAATATATGTGTACTTACAGTTTTTTAGATCAAGTGATTGAATAACTTTTTTAAGTTAAATATATCCTCTCTCATTTTTTTTTCTGTATAGAATATGTGTTTTGCTACAAGAAGATGGTTCTATCTACATTTGGGCTGCATGATGCTGATCAATCTGGTTAATGCTGACTTTGAGTTTCAAAAAGGAGTGCTTGCCAGCATCAGCCCAGGAATCACCAAAGACATTGATCTCCAGTGCTGGAAAGCTTGCTCTTTGACATTGATAGATCTCAAGGAACTCAAGATAGAGCACAATGTGGATGCTTTTTGGAATTTCATGTTGTTCTTGCAAAAATCTCAGCGGCCTGGACATTATAATGTCTTCTTAAACATAGCTCAGGATTTCTGGGACATGTATGTAGACTGCTTGCTTTCAAGATCTCATGGAATGGGCAGAAGACAGGTGATGCCCCCCAAATATAATTTTCCACAGAAAATAACAGGAGGTAATTTAAATGTGTATTTAAGAGAATAGCAGTTTACTTTTCTTTAAAAGTCACTATTTAATTCTTCTGATTTTTTTCAAGTTATCCAACAAGGTAGCAAATTTACCATATTTAGTTTTTTTCCCTAAAATGATAGGTTTTGATTCTCATTTTTACTCATTTTACATTATTTACAAACCACACAAGCTCTGACTTACAATTTTAAATGATCTTGGAATATAATACACTTTGGTAGATAATTAAAATTATCCTTGTTTGCCCATGAATAGTTCATAAGAAAGCCATTTAACCCTGTAATTATTCATATTACATTTGTTGAAGAAATTTTAAACATCAGACATGTATTTAGGCTTTTGAAATTAATTTTTTCAATAGGGTTGTATAAAAGCAGGAAATTTAAGAGTCATATTGGAATGAATATTAACAATTTCTTCTTTTAAATCTTACAGGACTAGATTTTACAAAATGAGAGTATTACATTTAAGAGAAAACATGTAAAATACCTCAAGCAAGATGACAGCGACCTGAAAACTTGTATTTATGAGGTCAAATATTTCTTGTCATAGTTATACAAATTATTTAATACTGATAAACGTTGTTTTTTGTTGTAATTGCTTTATTGCTATTGAATTATTCCAATATTTTCAGATAATTTCTCAATTTTTTACTTAGAAGGTGTCTTTTTAAAGTGTCTTTGTTTTAAAGAAAACATCAGTTAAAAGGCAAATGTGATATATTTTTTAGATACAATAGTCAATGGAATAAAATTGTAACCAATTTTATAAGGTATCTTATATATTAATATTGACTATTAAACTGTGCCAAAACTAATGGCAGTATTATCCTAAAAAGTAATATTTAATGTAGTATATTTTGTGGTTTCTGAAATGTACATTTCATTACCAAGCCATCTTCTATATTAAAGTATTTTTCTATGCATTAAGGACTAAAACCTTTTTATGTTCTCATTTTTATTGTCTTTGTTTTGAAAAAGGAACAATAAACAAAGACAGAAACTTCATTTCAGTAAAGTACAATTTGATAGAATTTTTGTGTTAGCTGAGTTATTTTTTATATTGCCTATTTATATCTCACATCTTATTTCAAAAAGGATGTGAAGCTTTAAAGAAATATACCGAAGAAAAGGAAAACATGAAGTAGTGGAGGAAATTGGAACATTGGGACATGAAGACAGGGAAGTAATACAATGGAGTTACGGTTTAGATTAATACTTTTTGAATGCATGTCGTAAAAGCCTATACCTTTGATAAAGGGTGCCTATAAATTTGGTCTGTTTCCCACTTCTCCTAGTGAAGAGGGACACATGAACAGTTTCAAGATTCACATGCTTATAAGAAAAACCAAACCATATGTTCAACAGAGGTCCAGCCTTTTCCAGGACAAAGAATCAATGAAAATCTCACCCATAGGTTTTCACAGTGGCTACCATGGTTTACAACACTGGTTTCAAGTATCCTTACAATGACAGATTCTCTCCTTTACAGTCTGATTCCAGTACACTCAAACTCAAATATAAAAAGTTTTAAAATCGGCTAAAATAATACTGAACAAGTAACGAACTGCCTGATGGTTTGACTTGATCCAAGAATAAGCTGAATTAAAGGAGGGACGTTCTTTGCATTATTGACCACTTTCAAATTCTGATGATGTATAGACCATTTATTAGGGGTTTTATATATAAACACTCTTAAAATTACATTTTGCATGTAATTTCAGGGGGCTGCATAAACCCCAGGTTAGGAATTTTCAATATTAAAGGACCTCATAGCGTTCGGCAATATTATTTCATATAACCAATTTTGCATGAGTAGCAGATAATATAAGATTGTAGGGCTAATAATTTCCTAGATTGAAAACTTCTTATCTTGCCAATTAAGGGTGGATCCCTAAGCTCAGAAAATCAACTGGTTGGAGGGTAGGGCTAATTAATGTTCTCATAAAAATGACCAGACAGCGTGTAAACATGAGTGATTTTATGTCCATTAAGCTTTTGATTTGTGGAATTTATATGACAAATAATTAGTCTGATATGAGTTTTTAAATTTCAACATATTTTCATATTGACACTTTATTACTGTTTAGCTCTAATCGAAAAGTGATGATTCATTTGAGAGGAGTCACATTTATGTGACAGGAGTAAAAAGTTGAGTTAATCTTGCCAAGAACTTTCCTGTCCTTTCTCATCTCCATATTGAACATCTGTGTTCTTTATCATTAAACTGCTTTTGGTCTAAAAAAAAAAAAATGACCTGACAGCTATCCACCTAGAATTCATTTCCTGCAGAGGAGCCGAAGTGGTACCTAGAGGCAGTATTACAGTTTTCCTCAAAAAAAACAGTTCTCTTTTACAGTCTGTGGGCAAATGATTGAAGCTCAAAAGTTCAATGCTGTAAAGTGAGACCATGTACTTTTAGTCTAAAAAATTGTTCAACCAGTTGTCCTCAATCACTCATAGTTGTCATGACAATTTTATTGCAGCGATGATAAACATTTTAGCTTAAATCAATAAAATTAGTCTTCCAGTTAATGGCAAAATGGTTTTCTAGTTCTTTTAATTGAATTTACATACTACATTGGGTTAAAAATAAGAACATTTGCTAAACTGGGCAATCTGGTTTTAAAACAACTCATCTTAAGCTTTTTGATGATGATTACATACCGTAAATTCCTCCCCGTTTTTGGCACAAATAGTGTCATCTGCATATAAAAAAACTTTTTCTTTCTGTTCATCATTCATTCATTCAACAAATATTCATTAAGCTTTAGGGTATATTAGTGAACAATCCAGACGTAATCTTTGACTCACAGAGTTGACACTGAAGTGGGACAATGCAGGGATAGACTGAAAGATCTAATTCAAAAGCAATTTTATGATATCAAAATAGAAGATAAAAAAGAAGGTGGTCAAAATGAAGCTGAATTGGGACAATATGTATTTCTCTTTTGTCCTATTCAAAATCATTTGACAGTCTAGAGATCATTTTAAAAAACAAACCACCAATTCTTGCAGTGGTACCATGGTAAAGATTCAGTTTCACAGCTTTGGGTTTATGCTGAGCTCATTTGGCTTAGCTCATAACCGATTATTTTTCAGAGAGCTTAAGGCTGAGGAGAAAAAAGGTGGCAAAGGATCTAATATTGACCCCACAAATATTTCTTCATAAGATGATACAAGGGATAATAATTATCTATGTCTAAAGTTCCTCTGCTGTTTCTATCGAATCTTTATTTTTTCTTTTTTTGAGACGGAGTTTCGCTCTTGTTGCTCAGGCTGGAGTGCAATGGCGTGATCTTGGCTCACTGCAGCCTCCGCCTCCCGGGTTCAAGTGACTCTCCTGCCTCAGCCTCCCAAGTAGGTGGGATTATAGGCACCTGCCACCATGCCCAGCTAATTTTTTGTAGTTTTAGTAGAGACAGGGTTTCACCAGGTTCACCAGTCTGGTCTCAAACTCCTGACCTCAGATGATCCACCTGCCTCTGCCTCCCAAAGTGCTGGGATTACAGGCGTAAGCCACCAAGCCTGGCCAGAATCTTTTTTAAACTTTAAATAAACTTTTAATTTTGTTTATTTTTTAAACTTTTGTTTTAGGTTCAGGGGTACACATACAGGTTTGTTCTATAGGTAAACTCATTTCACGGGGGTTTGTTGTACAGATTATTTTGTCACCCCGGTACTAAGCCTAGTACTCAATAGTTATTTTTCCTGATCCTCTCCCTCTTCCCACTCTCCACCAATCAAGTAGGCCTCAGTGCCTGTTGTTCCGCATTTTGTGTCCATGAGTTCTCATCATCTAGCTCCCACTTAAGTGAGAACATGCGGTATTCGGTTTTCTGTTCCTGTGTTGGTTTGCTAGGGATAATGGCCTCCACCTCCATCCATGTTCTTGCAAAAGACATGATCTCATTCTTTTTATGGCTGCATAGCATTCCATGGTGTATATGGACCACATTTTCTTTATCCAGTCTGTCATGATGGTCATTTAGGTTGATTCCATGTCTTTGCTATTGTAAATAGTGCTGCAGTGAACATTCATGTGCGTGTGTCTTTACGGTAGAATGATTTATATTCCCCTGAGCATATACTCAGTCATGGGATGGCTGGGTCGAATAGTAGTTCTGTTTTTAGCTCTTTGAGGAATTGCCACACTGCTTTCCACAATGGTTGAACTAATTTACACTCCCAGCAACAGTGTATAAGCATTCTCTTTTCTCTGCAACCTCGCCAGCATCTGTTGTTTTTTGACTTTTTAATAACAGTCATTCTGACTGGTGTGAGATGGTATCTCATTGTGGTTTCATAGCATTTCTCTAATGATCAGTGATATTGAGCTTTTTTTTCATACGCTTGTTGGCTCCATGTATGACATCTTTTGAAAAGTGTCTGTTCATGTCCTTTGCCCACTTTTTAATGTTTTTCTTCTTGTAAATTTGATAAACTTTTCATTTTAAAATAGTTTTAAAGCAGGGGGGGGAGCGATAGCATTGGGAGATATACCTAATGCTAGATGATGAGTTAGTGGGTGCAGCGCACCAGCATGGCACATGTATATATATGTAACTAACCTGCACATTGTGCACATGTACCCTAAAACTTAAAGTATAATAATAATAAAAAATACCAAACTGTAAAAAAAAAAAAAAAGTTTTAAATTTGCAGAGAAGTTGCAAGGATGGTACAGAGTTCCTATATACCTCTCATCATTTTTTTTTCTTTTTCTTTTTTTTTGGCAGGGTCTTGCTCTGTCAGTGGTGCAATCACGGCTCACTGCAACTTCAACCTCCTGGGCTCAATTGATCCTCCTATCTCAGCCTCCCAAATAGCTGGAACTACGGTTGTGGTCTACACCACCACTCCCAAATAATTTTTGTATTTTTTTGTAGAGTCAGGATTGCACTCCATTGCCCAAGCTGGTCTCCAACTCCTGGACCCAAGTGATCTGCCTGAGTCAGCCTCCCAAGTGCTGGGATTACAGGCCTGAACCACTGTGCCTGGCCCCATGTTTATTCTTATTGTTAATATCTTAACATTATATATGTCACAACTAATACACTGAAACCAATACAATATTAACTAAACTTCCTATTTTATTCAGATTTCAGTAGTTTTTCCCTAAGCTCCTTTTTTGTTATTGTTGTTCCAGGATCCCACGTTACACCGAGTTGTCATGTCTTCTGAGGTTCCTGTGGGTTGTGACAATGTCTCAGACCATGTTTTTGATGACCTTGACAATTTTGAGTACTGGTCAGGTATATTGCAAAATGCCCCTCAATTTGGGTTTGCCTGATGTCTTTGTTTGACTGGGATTATAGGTTTTTGGGATGAAGACCACAGAGGTAAAGTATCATACTCAACACGTCATATCAAAGGCACATGTCATTGACGTGACTTGCCATTGGTGGTGTTTAACCTTGGCTTAGGTAGTGTTTGCCAGTTTTCTTCATTGTAAAGTTTCTTTCCACTTTCTTTCTATATTACATCCTCTGGAAAGAAGTCACTAAGCATAACCCATACTTGAGAATGGGTAGTTATCTTCTACCTTCTTGAGGAGGGAATATCTACATAAATCATTTAGAATTCTTTGTATGGAGGCTTCCCCCACTTTCTCTCTCCCTTCCTTCCTTTTTTCCCTTCCTTTCATCATTTATTTATATCAGTATGGATTTATGAACATTTGTTTATACTTTGGTTTATAATCCAACACTACATTATTGATTTGTTCAAATCATTCCAGCTTTGGCCACTGGGAGCTCAGTAAGATGCTCCAGACTCATATATTTCTGCGCCAGCCTTAGAATTAGCCATTTCTCCAAGAAGCCCTGGCTCATTTTATTGGAGAATGATACTGGAAACCAAAGTTGGGGTATTGGGTCTATCTATAGAATTTTGACCTGATAGTACCAGGACAGTTCCTGGATGTCAGGGTCTGCTATTCTTTCTCAGAAAGCATCCCTGACATTTTCCTTGAAAGGCAACTAAATATAAGCAATAAAAAATGGTTGCTAATGAAACTAATGTAAGTTAAGGTTGTGTTGGCAGAATGTGTGTAAAAATGAGAGGAACTACATTGATCCTGCTCACCTGAAAAATCTTTGATCTGTTTGGTCACAGTTTAGAGGAGTATTAACAAATTGTAGCACTTCAGATGGAGCTGACCAGATTCATACATTCTAGAAACTACATTATCAGAAGAATGATGAAAGAAACTGGATATCTGACCTCAAAAGACTTAAGGTGGATAATATAGTTGTATATAAAATACTTTATGTTCCATAAGGCAGACTGATGATGCCAGATGGATGAAAGTTATTCACCTAATTATTCACTAATTTTTCACTCAATGTAAGTCAGCACTGTCTGACAATTAGTTTAACCATGCTAGAATGAGCTCCCCCATGTGGTAAAAGTCTCATTACTGAGATTGTTGAAGCTACTTTTATCTGTGCTCACTGAATTCCACACTTTTATTCTTTTGACTTCCTTTTCATTCAGTTGGTTAGTAAAAGTTTCAGTTTGAAAGCTTCAAATTTTGTCTCACCTGACTAATGTAAGAAAATATACCATCCTTCTCTCAGCCGGCAGGATCGGGTAGGCATCATGTCCCCTAGGGCTCAGGGGTGGTGTGAGAATATAGGATGTGATGAGAGACAGAGACTTAGAGTTAGTGATATTGTGAGAAAGAGTCACTCACTCACTGTGTGGTGGCTGGAATTATAATATGCAAACTTGGGTGAATCTGTCTACCAAGTGCAAGTGTCTGTATTAAGGAACATTACTGCTTTCCATCAACTTACACTTATTTGTCTATTAAATAGCTGCTACATAATAATCTGCCCTGTTTTACCTTTCTTCTTGCTGATGGGCAAAATACATGGAAGAAGAAAGGTTCACAGACATCAGAAATTGTCTAGATTACAGTCCTAATCAATCTGAGACATTTAGTTGTACTACATACAAAAATGATACTCAAGCAAGTAATACTATTTCCACACCTTGGTTATATTCATGTAGTAGTATTTATGCCTCACCATTTTGGAGAAAATCTATCATGTTATGAAGTAAATACATTTAAACTAACATGTTGTCTGTGTTGAGCATTACTTGTGTAGTATTTTGTTGGCTGAATCTTCCCTTTGAGCTCAGTACTTTGCTGCATTTGCAGAGCTCAAGGGAAAGACTGCCAGTAGCTGAGGCCACCATCACATTATCTAATAATTTATTTCCGGAGATACTAAGTACAATAATTAATGAGATATGGTCTCTACCTTGTTCTTAGAGAGCTTATAGTCTACAAAATGGAGCAAAGATTCATTGTTAGCCATGGACACTTCACATCAATTCAAGTGTACCTAAGATGTATCTGGTATTTTTTGTATGGGCATCTCGTTGTATGCTCCTACCCATGCTTAGGGTTCCCTGTGAAGGAAAGAAACAAATTATGCCTTCTAATATCTTCTTGAAGGTGGTAGACTAGAGAAAGGGATTCAGGAGAGAACAAAGCTCACTGATAAGCTGATGCATGTTATCTACTCCTATGGGGCACAAGAGGATGGGCATCTGGGCCAGGGTGAGAAGCCGCCAATCTAAGGTGAACTGGCAACTCATTCTAATTAGAACAATGACAAGAGCTGCAACCCCTACCTCTCAATGAAGATGCTACTGTCTTCACAGACAGGATAATGGAAAATCCCTAGAGGAATGTGAGTTGGGGGAAGAGGAGGAAGAGGAGGAGGAGGAAAGAAGAAGGAGGAAAATGTGGGTACATTGAGGTGATAGAGCCTGCTCTTATCTAATAATGAAAGAACCTATCTATGTTTTCCCAACCATGTATTCAATGGCATCATGTTGGTAGCTTGAGATTGGTAATAGTGGCAGTATTTATACTGTGTGAATTGGTGAGAACATGATGTAAATCAGGGCTTTTCCCTCCTGGAAAGCTAGTTATCCATTTACCAGTACACTGCTGAGTGTGCCCCATGGGCCCAGAATCTAGACTCAAATTCCAGTTTATTTTCCTAAGAAACAGGTCCTTGTCTCTCTGATTCCTGGACATGAACTCATGTCCTTTGTGGCTTCCAGGCTGGAGGAGGGGTGTGAAGGGAATGAAGGCAGGAGAGGGAGACTTCATAAGGGCATCCAGGGACACAGATTTGCTCTATGTCCAGCATAAAGGCATTTATCTCCTATTCTTTGACAAGATACCTCTACTACCAAATGAGGGAAAACACTTCCCCCATTACACCTTTCCCTTCCCCATTAAAGAAGAGAAGTAGCATTAGAGTTTGCTTTGTATATTTATATATTAAGAGTAAAACCAGCTGCATTTTTTTTTCTTTTTTACCATTTGGCTCATGACTAACATTTGCTTTTATAGCAGAGAAAACATAATTTTATTTTGACCAACATACTTGTTGCAGAGTTATTGTTTATCTTGCTGCCCAATATTCATATATACTTGCTTCTGATAATAGTACCCTGATTCCCCACTCTATCCATATGTTTTGGATGGAGTTGCCCTGCTTCTGGCTCCAGGAATAGGCAGTACTCAGCCATGGCCAAAGTCATGGTGAATGGCTCAGGACTACCGTAGGCATGTGGGCAATCAGGGGTCCTGAGATGCATAGGCAGCTGCAGAAACCACAGAGACACAGGCATGAACCTAAGAGAATGTAAGCCAGGAGCTGCTAGGGAAGGAGAAGATCCTACTCATATAGTTTTAGTCCTTAGATTCAGCAATGCCTGTAGTCTAAATTCCTCCTAGATTTGATAGGTATAGAGCCTGTAAGAAATTTTTTTTCTGACTTAAACTAGTTAGAATAGTTCACATGCAACCAACAGAGTCCTAACTGATGTACTATGTTTTACAATTTCACTTAGTAAAATTGGTAGCCTTTCCAAAGAAACTGATGACAACTCTTCTGATATTACATGTTGATGTTTTCCATAAAAATAAATTATATGTCCTTTTATTTTTATAGTATTTTACTAAAATATTTATACTAAAATACTTATTCTAAAATATTGGCTTTACATATGTATAAAGATATATTCAGCTAAAAAATTATAAGCTGACTTTATTTCAAAAAGTCTCTATAGTATATTACGTAGGAATACTCTTTTTTGGTGCATCCACAATTTTAACTGCTTTCACCCTCTGCAAGGCTCCTCCTCGAATGGGCAGTTTTTTAAGAGCAATATCCGTATCAACCAGAGGTCCTCCTACTAATCGGGCAGGAGTGCTTTCCACTGTTACTACTCCACCAGAGGGCACCTAAAAAGGCAAAAGGTAAATATCTAAAAGTCCATTTACACAATTTTCAACAAGAGAAAAACTCATTCATCCTTCAGCTTACTTTTGAAAAGACACAAATGTAATGAATAACTAGGAGGCAGTTATGGTATAATAGAAAGATAAGGGCATCGGAGCCAGGAAAAGTAGGTTTGAATTCTATTTCTATTGCTTATCAGCTTTGTAACTGGGGGCAAATTAAGTCTAGCAGAGGATACCAGGAACACTTGGGATCTACTCGCCAGGAAAAGGGGAAGCACTGCGTCTTTTCTGTTAAAGAGATATAAGGACAATTATAAGCTGACTAGTGTTTATAGCAGTTTCTTAGAAATCCTGGAGGGCTGGGCCTACTCTAAACCAGAACCGGGCAAAAGTGGATATACATTGGAGATAAATATGCCTTAATGATGTGAAATTTGAACAGCAAAAAGAAAAAATGTGAGATGAAAATCCCATTGACATAATATTTTGGGGGCCTAAGTTTTTTTTTTATTAATTTTTTTAACTTCTAATTTTTAAATTTAAAATTTTTTTTGAACAGTTTTATTGAGATATAATTCAATACCACACAATCCATCCATTTAATGGGTAAAATTCAATGGTTTTCAGTATATTTGCACAGTTGTTCAAACACTCTAAATTTAATGTCTATTAAGAAAATGTTATGGAGAAAGAATCTTACCGTTGTGTTAAGGCCTTTAATATGTGTTTGGTGAAATATTGCATTTTGTGGTCGTTTATGGTATCTGGAGGCTTCTATAGCTTTTTCTTGAAGGCTTTTTGCTTTCTGAGGATTTTTAAATTAGAAAGAAAATATTAATTGCTATTAAATCAGTAATGATGGTACTTACAATGAAAAACATATTTAATTGTGTCTGGCTTATGCTTTGGTTGTTTATTAGATAGCGCTGAAATCTGCATTTACTCATTTAGACTAAAAAGACAGTTATTAGTAAGTTAGATACTTTGCACATTGAAGAAGACTCCAGTCACCTAAAAGTCTTCCAGAGATTTCTGGAAGTAGTCCAAGAAATCCATATATGACCAAGGAGTCAAGCAGATCCTGAAGAAATCAGGTTCAATTTTTAGCACATAATTTAATAAGCTATTAAATTTATATCAGGTGATGCATATTGCAAAACATATTGCATAAATTACCAACTGATTAAGTACACTTAAATGTTTTAAGCATTCAGAATAATATAAATTATGTAATTCATTGCAGTTATATTTAAGCTATTTGAAGTTATTTTCAAGGTATTTGCTACACTAAACAAGTGAAATGTGAAGTAATAAATGACCTGCAGGAAAGGAGCTGATTTTCATTAACTAGTGCTAAAAATACAGGCAGTTAGGAAGACATTTTATAAGTAGAATTGGGAAGAACTTTCAGTGAACAGGGAGATAACTTGGTACCTTGAGTGAGCTTGTTCTTAAATTTGGTTTTGCTATCTTAATATGGTTCCACCGTCTTGTGGACTAACTTAACATTTAGCAATTTTATATCTATAGGAAGTATTGAAACATTAGGTAAAGTCTATCCAAAGTATCAGAAATGAAGGAGAGATTTTTTAAAAAGTGTATCCAAGATATTAATGGAAAAGGGTGGGGAAAAGTAATGAAATTCTGGAAATCCATGGTGTTTCTCACATATTTCAAGTGAACGATTAGCACTATACATTTTTTAGATTAGTTTCTAGCTTACAGTTGAAGTAGCTTACCACATTTTTCTACAAAGGGATATTTATCCCCAGTTCACATTTAAGTTTAACATAATGCTTCTTTTGGTGATCACAGAGGGAAAAGCTCTTGGGGGACAGAGTAATACAAGATAGTTGCTCTTTGTGTCCTTTACTTTGCCTCTCACAGAAAAGAAATCAATGAATAAGCAGGTTCAGAATGGAAAGCAGAACACATTTTCCTGCTCATTCCTGGCTATCATCTTCTTCTTTATGTAGGTCAAGAACATCAGCCTTGTTTCTCCCTGATAAACCAAATGAAACTCAAAGCAGCATCTTCTGTAACTGTGAAATGCAGTTTCACTTATCACTCTAAATTGCATATGAGCATCTAATAGTGCTGGTATTGTACGGAAAGGTCACTAGGAAAAAATGAATGAATATTTGTTCCTGAAAAAGTCTGTCTGTAAGAGTTGGCTATTTGTTGTGGATACTATAATACATTAAAAATCCTACCTTTAACGTTTTAGCGTTTGATGTTCTAGCCAAGAAATCTTCCCATGATTTATTAGCCAGCTCTCTTTGCTTGTGCGTGGCCTGTATCTGAAATGAGAAAGATAATTAAGTTTCAGTTTCTTTTTTTTCTTTTTTTTTTTTGAGACAGAACCTCACTCTGTCACCCAGGCTGGAGTCCAGTGGCATGTCTCAAGTATCTCTCTGCCTTTTAAAAATTTAAGACTGTAGAAATAAAATTATAATGCAAAAAAACAGCATTGAATATAGTAACTCAATCTCAAACTCCATAGTTTCTTTTAAAACTGCACAGAGACACTGAAAATAACTCTAAGAGAAAACCACAAAATAACTCAAGGCTGAAACACCCACAAGTAAGAAAAATATATCTTATGGATAACTTCATCTGGGTTTATACATTGAAATTATTATCTTGTGCCTTAATGGTATCTGTGGCTTACTTTCTTATTGATATATAATAGTTGTACATATTTATGGCATACATGTGATATTTTGATATGTGCATACAATGTGTAATGATCAGGGTAATTGGGATATCCATCCCCTTAAACACTTATCATTTCTTTGTGTTAGGAGCATTCCAAGTCTTCTGGGTATTTTGAAATGTACAATAAATTATTGTTACTATAGTTGTCCTACTGTGCTATTGAACAACAGAACTTATTCTATCTAACTGTATTTTTGTGCCCATTAACCAACCTATCTTCATTCTCCCTCCTCACTACCTATGTAGCTTACTTTTGCATATACTTTTTGTTCATTTTGCATGTCTTGGCATGCTTGGCTTTCAATTATATCACTTTGCAGAGAAGCAACCATCTTTCCAATATTTTCTGATGCTGTTGTAATAGCTTCCAAAGCTTTTTTATCTGTAGTGACTGGTCTTAATTTTTCTAATTTTATTTCTTCATATATTTCATTCCATATTTCTCCAATCTGTTATAACAAAGTTTAACAAAGTTAAATTAACCAAAAACAAATCATGCAATTGTACAATTATACAATTTTTTATATGGTTAGTCACTCCTGTTAACACTTAAACTTTTCCTAAATTACTTCCTGGGAATAAGTGCATTGGGAATGATTGAGGGTACCAGCTACATTTGAGTACTCAGTAGGAATTTATCAAATGTTTTTCAATGGTATGTTATTCATGGATAAGGCTCTCCTATGCCTAGTTCCCTGCCATCATCACCATCATCACTGCCCTCTAGTTTATAGTTACCTTGATTTCACAGCTGCAGAAACTGCTGATTTATTCTGATCTTTCTGAACTATCGTTACTTTCCTCCCTAAAGCCCTATATTGAAGGCTAGGTCAAGATGAACTTTTAGGAGAATGAACATGGGGATTACTAGGACCCTAGAACCCAGCCACCCTGAGAAAGGGGCCCTGCCCCTCACTTTCTAGCTAAGGCAAATTATAATGGAATCTCAAGCTTTTAACTCCATGGTTCCATCATGTCAGTGGCTCCATCTCATATTCTAGGCTGTCTAGAAGTTAACGTTCTTGAGTGTATTTAGAATTAGAGAAAAAAGAGCAGAGTTGTGCAGCAGAAGTGTGCTGGACCCATAAAATTAAAGAAAAAAATTATATATCTATGATAAGGAAAAAATTCATCTTTGGGCTGAATGGAGTGGGTGGATCACTTGAGCCTAGGAGTTTGAAGGCAGCCTGAGCAACACAGTGAGACCTTGTCTCTACCCCGCCCCGCCCCCCCCCAATAAAAAGCTGGGTATGGGGGTACACACTTGTAGTCCCAGCTACTTGGGAAGATGAGGCTGGAGGATCAAATGAGCCTGGGAGGTTGAGGCTGCAGTGAGCTGTGATCATGCAACTGCACTTTAGGCTAGGTGACAGGATGAGACTCTGCCTCAAAAAAAAAAAAAAAAAGAAGGAAAGAAAGAAAATAGAGGTTTACTCATTTACAACATCCAAATATACAGTACTAATATTAGTAGAAGGACAATGTTAACTTAAAAAGACTTTCTTGAGACTTCAAAAGTATTTACTGACAAATATAACTAGCAAGGTAAGTAACCTACTATCTTTTAATCAAGATTGGATCATAATATAAAGTAATGATAAAATAATACTTTAATAAGTATTAATAATTTATTTTAATAAATAAAAACTTATTTAATTTCAACTCCAAAGAGAAGAAACTGTATGGTCAGGCTGGTCTCGAACTCCTGACCTTGGGTGATCCACCCACCTCGGCCTCCCAAGGTGCTAGGATTGCAGGCATGAGAATACAAAAATTAAAAAATACAAAAATTAGCTGGGCGTGGTGGCGGGTGCCTGTCATCCCAGCTACTTGGGAGGCTGAGGCAGGAGAATCACTTGAACCTGGGAGGCAGAGGTTGCATTGAGCCAAGATCATGCCATTGTACTCCAGCCTGGGTGACAAGAGCAAAATCTCCATCTCATAAAAATAATTTTTTTTTTTTTTGCTAGGCTTCTGAACAGTTTTATATCAGTTTCTTTTTTTTTTTTTAGACGGAGTCTCGCTCTGTCGCCCAGGCTGGAGTGCAGTGGCGCAATCTTGGCTCACTGCAAGCTCCACCTTCCAGGTTCACATCATTCTCCTGCCTCAGCCTCCCGAGTAGCTGGGACTATAGGCGCCCGCCACCACATCCAGCTAATTTTTGTATTTTTAGTAGAGACAGGGTTTCACCATGTTAGCCAGGATGGTCTTGATCTCCTGACCTCGTTATCCACCTGCCTTGGCCTCCCAAAGTGCTGGGATTACAGGCGTGAGCCACCGTGCCCGGCTTATATCAGTTTTGTACATCTTCTTTCACAAACTAAGTTGGATGAAATCTTATCCCATGAAAAACACCCAATCATGGGATGGGTGTATGGTGTATTTCTTCAACAGCATCAGATGCAAAATGAAAAATAAAAACTATACAGTATGTAGATGATTGCTCACAACCATGAATAGATATTTTATTTTCCAGTTAATTTTTTGCTATCTAGATTTTAATAATCAGGTTATTAAAAAGATACTTACTTTAAAATCAAGATATCTATGTATGATACAAAGGGTGACAAAATCTTCAGCAGATAGGCCAGGTAAATTTTCAAAATCTAAAATAAAGTTTATAAAGACAGAATTACTTTAGCAGAGCAAGTGATTCTAAGAATCTATCTATCTATCTATCTATCTATCTATCTATCTATCTATCTACCTATCTAAAAACAAATGCAAAGTTACTTTTGATTTCATCTTGATTTATGAAAAAGTTAATTCTGTGAGTAGCTTGTGAGTAGGCTTCTTTCTATAACACATTTCTGCCAGGTCATCCAATATATAGGAATCATTTCTTTCTGTGTTGTAGTCAGACAATAATATCTTACTTCAGAAGCTGAAGAGTGTTTGATAAACTTTTTCCTTAATAGACAGCAAAGACTTAAAAAAAAAAACTCAAGTGACTCAGAATGTCAGTATTTTAAGCTTAATCATCTAAACTAACTGTCCTTAATCCTATCTGCACATTGGAATTGCCTGGGGAGCTTTAAAAAATACTATTGCCTGGATCCCACACACAGAGATTCTGATTTAATTGGTGAGGGGTGCAGTTTGGGAATTGGGGTAACAATGGAAAATGAATTTCTCTATATAAAGAGATTTTTGCTCATTATATTTGAAAAACTGTCTCCAAAGTAAAATCAGTGTGTATACTTAGCAAAACAGACTCTTGCAAATTTGAAGAGAACTTCTTACCTAGTTTGCCCAATATAGCATAAATTTTTGCTCTAATATTCTCAGAAACATCCATAACCGCAATAGATGGGCAGTTAGCAGGCAGTGGGATGATTTTTTGCTCTTCTTGAAAGCTAGTAAATAGAGGTTTTTTTGTATCTAATCATTGGATAGCATGAAAATAGAAAAGGGACAGATAAAAACCATAGTAAACAAATACTTAATTTTGAGATTTTAGTCTAGATAACATAAAATATATAAAAATATTGTAGCAAAAAAATAGTGCCTATTACACGGTTACACTTTTGAAATAATAATTAAGCAGCTATTTCTTCCCCACTCTGTGGCAAAACTTAGAGCCTTCATTTTTATTGTTTATGTAAAATATTAAAATTTCACAAAATTACTTTTTAAAAGTAAAACTTCTATGTAAATAATTTAAAAAATTTTGAAATCCAGAACTTGAGTAATGTCAGTTTAACAGTGATGTAACCTTGTTTACTTTTGGTTTCTATATATTATGCTATAAATATAAAAACTATTTTATGATGCTATAGGTCAAAACTCAGAAACAATAAAAATGGATTGAAGATACAAGTCATCAGAAGGGGAAGTATTTACATTTAAAAATAAACAATACTTAAGGAAACATATCTAAAAATAATAAGAGCCATCTATGACAAACCCACAGCCAGCATTATATGGAATGGAGAAAAGCTGGAAGCATTCCCTTTGTAAACTGGCACAAGACAGGCATGCGCTCTTTCACCACATAGTATTGGAAATCTTGGCCAGAGCAATCAAGCAAGAGAAAGAAAAAAAAAAAGCATCCAAACAGGAAGAGGGGAAGTCAAACTATCCCTGTTTGCAGATGACATGAGTCTGTATCTAGAAAACTCCATAGTCTCGGCCCAAAAGCTCCTTTAGCTGATAAACAACTTTAGCAAAGTTGCGGGACACGAAATCAATGTACAAAAGTGACTAGCATTCCTACACACCAACAACAGCCAAGCCAACAGCCAAGTCAGAAACACAATCCCATTCACAATTGCCATAAAAAGAATAAAATACCTAGGAATACAGCTAACCAGGGAGCCAAAAGACCTCTATGATGAGAATTAGAAAATACTGCTTAAAGAAATCAGAGATGACACAAACAAATGGAAAAACATCCCATGCTCAAGGATAGGAAGAATCAATATCATTAAAATGGTTATACTGCCCAAAGCAATTTACAGATTCAATAGTATTTCTATAAAGCTATCAACAACAATCTTCACATAACTAGAGAAAACTATTCAAAAAATCATATGGAACCAGAAAGAGCCCCAATAGCCAAGGAAATCCTAAACAAAGAGCAACACTACAGGCATCACGTTACCTAAGTTCAAACTAAACTACAAGACCACAGTAACCAAAACAGCATAGTACTGGTACAAAAACAGACACAGTTCAATATAACAGAATAGAGAGCCCAGAAATAAGGCTACACACCTACAACTACTTGATCTTCAACAAAGCTGACAGAAACAAGCAATGGGGAAATAACTCCCTATTTAATAAATGGTGCTGGGATAACTAGCCAGCCATATGCAGAAAATTGAAACTGGACCTCTTCCTTATACCATATACAAAAATCAACTCAAGTTGGATTAAAGACTTAAATGTAAAACCCAAAACTATAAGAACCCTGGAAGACAACCTAGGCAGTAGCAATCTGGACTTAGGAATGGGCAAAGATTTCATGACAAAGATGTCAAAAGGAATCACAATACAAGCAAAAATTGACAAATGGGATCTAATTAAACTTAAGAACTTCTGCACAGTAAAAGAAACTATCAACAGGATGAAAAGCCAACCAACAGAATGGGAGAAAATTTGTGCAAACTATGCATCTGACAGAGGTCTAATATCCAGCATCTATAATGAACTTAAACAAATTTATAAGAAAAAACACAACCCCATTCAAAAGTGGGCAAAGGACATGAACAGACACTTTTCAAAAGAAGTCATACATGCAGCCAACAAGCATATGAAAAAAGCTCAATATCACTGATTATTAGAAAAATTCAAATTCAAATCACAATGAAATAGTATCTCACATCAGTCAGAATGGCTGTTATTAAAAAGTCAAAAAATAACATACCGGCAAGGTTGTGGAGAAAAGGGGATGCTTATACACTGTTGCTGGGAGTGTAAATTAGTTCAACCATTGTGGAAAGCAGTGTGGCAATTCCTCAAAGAGCTAAAAACAGAACTACTATTCGACCCAGCAATCCTGTGACTGAGTATATGCTCAGAGGAATATAAACCATTCTATCATAAAGACACACACATGAATGTTCACTGCAGCACTATTCACAATAGCAAAGACATGGAATCAACCTAAATGCCCATCATGACAGACTGGATAAAGAAAATGTGGTCCATATACACCATGGAATGCTATGCAGCCATAAAAATAGTGAGATCATGTATTTTGAGGGAACATGGATGGAGGTGGAGGCCATTATCCTTAGCAAACTAACACAGGAACAGAAAACCAAACACTGCATGTCTTCACTTATAAGTGGGATCTAAATGATGAGAATTCATGGACACATGGAGGAGAACAACACACACTGAGGCCTATTAGATGGTAGAGAGTAGGAGGAGGGAGAGGGTCAGAAAAAATAACTATTGGGTACTAGGCTTAGTACCTGGGTGACAAAATAATCTGTACAACAAACCCTTGTGACATGAGTTTACCCATATAACAAACCTGTATGTGTACCCCTGAACCTAAAATAAAATTTAAAAAAAAAAGTGAACCGTTTAGATGAAACCATAAGAATCTTAAAAGGCTTAGAATATGTAGGCGGGGTGCAGTGGCTCATGTCTGTAATCCCAGCACTTTGGCAAGTGGAGTTGGGCAGATCCCCTGAGGTCAGGAGTTCAAGACCAGCCTAGCCAACATGGTGAAACCCTGTCTCTAATTAAAAAAATACAAAAATTAGCTGGGTATGGTGGCACGTGCCTGTAGACCCAGCTACTCAGGAGGCTGAGGCAGAAGAATCATTTGAACCTGGGAGGCGGAGGTTGCAGTGAGCCGAGTTCATGTCACTGCACTCCAGCCTGGGCGAAAGAGCGAGACTCTGTCTCCAAAAAAAAAAGAAAAAAAGAAAATGTAATATATTGGCCAGGTGTGGTGGCTCATGCCTATAATCCCAACACTTGGCAGAGGCTGAGGTGAGTGGATCGCTTGAGCCCAGGAGCTTGAGACCAGCCTGGGCAACACGGTGAAACCTCATCTCTACAAAAAATACAAAAATTAGCTGGGTGTGGTAGTGCATGCCTGTAGTCCCAGCTACTTGGGAGGCTAAGGCAGGAAAATCGCTTGAGCCTGGGAGGCAGAGGTTTCAGTGAGCCAAGATTGCACCATCACACCCCAGTCTGGGTGACCTGAGTGAAACCCTGTCTCACAAAAAAAAAAGAAAAAAAAAAGAAAAAAATGTAATATAGCAGTATGGAATATGTAAATGAACTAAAAATTATGATACTGTAAGTCTCATTAATTTAGAATCTAGTAATTAAAATTTTTGAACATTTGGACTATTTTTATTTAGGAAACAATATCTTCTTTCATATAAAAAGTAAACTCTATAAACATTAATCAGATCATGTTGCCTAATGGATTTAGAAAAAGGAAAAATGAACAGAAATGTATAAAATACCAAAATATTATTTTGAAGCAATCTATTTACATCTCAATGAAATATTATTGAATCTATCTATAAAAGCAGAAAACCCAAAGAAGCATCTTTAGGAACTACTTTAATTTTTTTTTTAGTTAAAAGAATATAATTAAATACCATTTCTTAAAAATATTCTCTAAAAATATGAACCTACTACTAATTTACTTAGTTTTCTTCCAGTCACTTAGGATAGCAAATTTTTCAAACCCTTGTAAAAAAAAAAAAAAAACTTTAGACAAAGGGGTGAAAGGCCTGATGCTTTCTTAATACCATTTAAAGATCTTTTAAAATATATACATTAATTGCTTCTACTAACAATTATAAATATACTCACCAATGATCTTCCCATTTTTATCACGTTTTACTCCTAGTTCTTTTTCCTCCTTTCTCCACAATTTAATTAAAAGACTAGCAGCTGTCTGATCCTTCTTCCCTTGCCAAGCATTGACATGAGCTGCAGTTTTGGGATTATCACAAAATTCAACCATTATTCCAAGTATTAGATTACAGAATTTTTTTTGGTTCAACTTTAGCAAGGAAACAGAAAAGGAAAAAAGTTGCAATAAATATTAAGAATTATTGTCTTCAAAAAAAAAAGAGAGAAACACTTCTATTATCATTAAGTTTCTTCTAAACTCAGAGTCAGGAAAATCTCCTGTTAAAATGGACACCCATTGTAATGACTATATTTTCAAACATTAGAAATTTAAAAGGATAAAAAGTAAAAGATTTAATATAATTCTGAAGTCATTATAAACATATATCATGACCAAAATGTGACTGATGTGGCTGAGTTGGAAAAAGATTTGCACAAATAAGTGAAGATGTTCATTTTAAGTGGCGAAGCTCGATAGTGTTATACAGAGTTCACTGTAATTACAGGATCTTTCCAATTTATATGCTTTATTAAGGCTTGTAAAGATTCATACTAACTGTAATCTCTTTGTTATTAAGAGAGTAACTGATGGTAACTGCAAATGACAATCACATATGAAAATAAAACAAGATGTAATTTGGTTTTGTGGCAATCATCATCCATAAAAGAGTATTTAAGGATTCAAAAAAATTCTCCTATTATAAAGCATATTTCCTTTATTTTGCTACAAGTAGTTTTCAGTACACCAAAATTTAGGTATAGAAAATTCCATCCAGAGCAATGGCCTCCATAATCTAATTCTTCTATGTGAAATACTTTTTGTTGATTAACTTTTACAGTATACTGTTATTTGAATATAGCAAAGGAAATATGTAAGCTTTTGTTTTAATTGCGAACATCATCAGTTTCCTTTTATAAAATGAAAGGATAATAATATTACCTGCAAAGGGTTATTATGAGTTATATGAGACTCCCTGGTACATAGTCAGCTCTCATTAACATTTAACCATTATTAGCAGTTATCATTACATACTTTATATTTCAGCAGAGTTGTATTAAGCAAAACACTCAAGGAAATGAGTTTTTTTATTTCTCTACTTCAGGAGACAGGCAAATGTGAAAGATTGAAATTGATATAAAATCTTCATTAAATAATATCTGTAATTTGCAATTAATTTGGTTGAATCAGCATTAAATATATTCTAGCAATAATATTCATAATAACAGTAAATACAGGAATCATGTTAGGCACTATATTTAATCTATAATATATATGTATGCATGCACACTTAGATGCACACACAGACATACAATCACTCATTTAATCCTTCCAACAATACAATAAGATATATAATGTTGTTATCTCTGTTTTACAGGTAAAGAAATCGAAAAGAGAGAAATGAACTAACTTTCAGGGAGGTTAAGGGGCACAAATAATTTTAGCACTTTTGCTAAATCAAAGTAGGTTTGTTATTCTGTTAATAAAATCAAGAATAGTGGCAATCATAGAATCACGGACAGGGAGCGGGCTAGAACTCTGTGTGAGAATCTCTCTCAAAATTTTATTGAAACAAAATTGTACGTTTCCTCCCATATCATCCTGACTATGGATTCCAGTTAGAATTGAGGCTAGTAAGGGGCTATATTCTTCACAGCTGCTAGATGGCACTGTCTCTATTGGAAGGCCTAGCTTGCTCACATCTGCTCATTCTGCAAAACAATGGTCCATGAGTCACTAGACTTCTTCAGGTTACCTCCAAATAATACATAGTTCTTTAAAAATGCTTATCTTTGCTCCTTGTCTAACGTGGCCCTTATCTTTTAATATCAGGGGAAGAAACTAGAAGTTATTAATAAATGACTATGGGTTTTCATATGGTCAAGCTCTTCACAAACTGTTTCTTAACAGGTTGATGGAGTACAAAGAAAAACAAATTCTTTGTTCCCGTGTATTTGAAAACACTGAAAAAACACTGGTAAAATGACTTTCCAACCAGAGGAATTTTCAGAGCCTTTAAAACACTGTGTATTATGAATTTCTAGGAGCAATTTTGTTTAAGACCGTACCTTTGAACATGATTTGGGGCACATTTATTCATAGACTTGTGCTCTGTGGCATTCAGTTTGGAAACGGCCTTTAATAGACATATTTGTCTTTTGTCTTATGATTGTTATAGCCATACTTACTGCTAACAAATCCAAAAGGAGAAAAATGCCTTCCTTTTCAAGAAAATAATCCTCTGAGGGATAACATCCCAAAATACAGCACCTTAAATTAAAAGAAAGTTATTCATTTGACAAACATTTATTGTTAAACTGAATTTGTACAGCTTTATCTTTATCAAAGCATTTTCAAAGAATATGTTTTCTTCATTTTCTTAAATCAAGTAGCTAATGTTTTTACCTAAAAAAATAGAACTTTGAAGAAACTTTACCAGCGTTGTTCAGTTTCAACGTTTTTAAAAATCAATATCCATTCTTTTCCATAACTGCCTATTTCTTTCCTACAAATAAAACATTCTCCTTTGCTTTCATGATATTAATTATTCTTAGTGATCATCTCTGGCTGGTCTCATAACTTTTTTTGCAAGATATATCCATTTATTGTTGCTGTAAACCAAAAATAAAATTCTAAGCCCCCCAACCAACTGAACGAACCCTTCTCTCAGCCAAGGCATTCCAAAGTAAACTTGAAAAACTAGTTCAGGCCATGATGGGAAGGAGGGGTTGGACATGCCTCATTATAACTTCCTCCCTTTGGAATTCAGGCACAACTGACCAGTGAGTATTAACGTTAAAACAGAGATCTTAAGAATGAAAAAACAGACTCTTCACAGCAATGAGATACCAAATTCCAACTTGACTCTGGTATAGCATCACATGACAGTAGGCTCTGAAAGAAATCAAAGTATTTTACCCCAAAATATATTCCTTTGACATATTTTTAAATGGTCCTGCAAAGCTGTCTCTTCTAGGGAAAATCTACATTCTGTAGCGAATCCCCTCCCCTGTCCAAGTATTTTCCAGATCCAGGAGAGATTTAACTAAGTCCGGCACCTTTTAAGGTCTGATAAGAGACATTTACCAACTATTCCACATAATAAGAAACTTGGTCTCAACAATCCCTTATTTTAACTCAGATACTCCTTTCTATTGATCCCCAGTTTTTAGATAATAACTTACCCATTTCAACAGATAGCAATCAGGAAATTTCTGAATCCACCTCTGACCTGTAAACTCCTGCTTTGAGTTGCCTTTCCTTTCCGAATCAAACCAATGCACACCTTATGTGTACTGACTGATGTCTTATATCTCCACAAAACGTATAAAACCAAGCTGTAGCCCAACCACCTCGGGCACATTTTCTCAGGACCTCTTAAAACTGTGCCTCAGGCTGGGTGTGGTGGTCAGCCTGTAATACCAGCACTTTGGGAGGCTGAGGGGGGTGGATCACCTGAGGTCAGGAGTTCGAGACCAGCCTGGTCAACATGGCAAAACGAGGTCTCTACTAAAAATACAAGAATCAGCCGGGCATGGTGGTGGGCGCCTGTAATCCCAGTTATTCAGGAGCCTGAGGCAGGAGAATAGCTTGAACCCAGGAGGAGGAGGTTGCAGTGAGCTGAGATCACGCCACTGCACCCCGGGCTGGGTGACAGAATGAGACCCCGTCTAAACAACAACAACAACAACAATAACAACAAAAAACCGTGCCTCAGGCCTTGGTCAATTATATTGGGCTCAGAATGAAACTCTGTAAAATATTTACAGGCCTTGTCGACATTGCTGTTTCAAGATGTTGGTGCACTTTAAACATTGGATAATTATTGATTATATCTCATCTTTGCAGTTGAGATTATTTTGTTAGAGGTGTTTGAATGAGAGCAACTCCATCTTGAATAGGGGCTGGGTGAAATAAGGCTGAGACCTACTGGGCTGCATTTCCAGAAGGTTAAGGCGCTCGAAGTCAACGGATGAGACAGGAGTTCAGCACAGATACAGGTTATTAAGGCTTTGCGGATAAAACAGGTTGCAGTAAAGAAGGCGGCTAAAACCCACCAAAACCAAGATGCTGACAAAAGTGACCTCCGGTCATCCTCACTGCTACACTCCCACCAGCACAATGACAGTTTACAAATGCCATGGCAACATGAGGACGTTACCCTATATGGCCTATAAAGGGGAGGCATAAATAATCCACTCCATGTTTGGCATATCATCAAGAAATAACCATACAAACGGGCAACCAGCAGTCCTTAGGGCTGCTCTGATTATGGAGTAGCCATTCTTTTATTCTTTTACTTTCCTAATAAATTGCTTTCACTTTACTCTGTGGACTCACCCTGAATTATTTTCTGCGCCTGATCCAAGAACCTTCCCTTGGGGTCTGGATTGGGACCCCTTTCCTGTAACATCCTTCTGGCAACCATGGAAGGGACAATAGTGAGAAAACCCCCGACTCAAAGGCTAATATTGGGTAAGTGTTGGGGTCTGGTAACATCTTTCTGGCAAGCCCCGAAGGGACGATACTGAAGAAAGCCCTCAGCCCCAAACCAAAGGAAAGAGACGACAGCACTGGTTGGCCGACCTTGGGTGAGTGGTTGGGTACTCGGCTGAAGGATGGCATTGGGTTAGAGGTCAACTTAGGGGAGTTAGGGTCTCTCCTTAAGTCAAAGTGGGTTAAAAGCCCCTCTTATTAAAAAGCAAGGAAACTTGACCGACCCTGGATTTGAAGGCAAATTTAGGAGGGTTAGAATCCCTTCTAAGATTTAGGAAGTTAGAGGCCCCTCTCAGTAAAGTCCCTTTTGGCTAAGAATGGGTTTGGCACTATGGGATGTTAATTGCTATTCTCTTTGGAATAATCTGCCTTGCACTTTTTGCTTATGGTTATGGGTGAGAGGATTAGGCGCATGTAGGATTGTGGGACAGAGGAAGCTTTTTCCTCCCTAAAAGGGGAAACTTGAGAGCAAATGGGAATGCTGGAAAAGATCCCGTCTCGACTGAAAAGCAACTGGCTGAACTTTTGATTCAGTGTTGGCACCAATGGGCAGGTCTTTCTCTGGCCTCCCTGAGCACCTCACCTTCCCCACACTGCCAAAAGCAATGCTCCCTTCCCTTTTTCCCTTCCCTTCCCCTCTGTGCAAACCAGTTGAATGAATGGTAAAAATCACTGTCTCCTCTGTAAAGTTTTGATTAATGGGAGAAATGATTTGAAAGCCTAATCTTAACCTGTAGCCAATCTGGTGTACTTTGTCTTTCTGTATTGTTCTGTCATAAAGAGGGGTACCTTAGGAGAGAACATAGGGTTAGGACACCTGTAAGCCTGCTTTCAAGATGGCCCAGCAAACTGGTCAGTTACAAACTTTGCTGCAAGTCCCCCAAAAAACTAAAACTGGACGAGGTTTCCCTCGTCTTGTATGTCCTTGGGAGCTTGACCTTGTAACCTTGTGGCCATGCTTTCTCTTTTCACAATGGCGGCCCCGGTCCAGGGTTCAATTCCTGGCTTAGGGAAGGAGTCCTTCATCTTCTGCGTGTCTCCATATTTAAATGTATTATGTGTGTGATGTTTATATATGAAAGAGCTCTAATTAGTTTATTAATAAGAAGAACTTAAATCAAATATTTTTTCAGAAAAGTAAAAAGTAGAATGATGTTCAGTTCATGTGACTTTAGTAATCTTAGGGAAATCAAGACAGTTTTAATAAAGATTATTGGTAAAACAAAAATTCTTCAAAAATGTAACATTTGGTGTAAATTATGCAGATCAGGTATCAGGTTTTCCAAATACTTTACGGTCATAAATGGCTTCTTTGACTTTTGAAAATTGTTCAATTTATTTAGGAGCATTAGATTGTAGATAGGGCTGGGGACATGTGAAATTAGCCATGCCCCCTAGCTATGCAAAGAAGGTTGTAAAGAAAACAGATGTTATATAAAAAACAATCTTGTATGGTAGATTCTTGTCCTAAAGTAAAACAACTGGTTGCTTAAAAAGAGGGATGTTTAGGAAAAGTCAGAAAGTCTAAGCATGTCATAGTCTATGTAAGTCGTGAAAGGATTAGTGAAAGGGAGTTTGTGCAAGAAATGTTGTACAATTTGAAGGTCGTTAGGCCCCCTTAATGCTTCATAAAATGCCACTATGACTCTTACTGTAACTTGCCTGCTTTATGGCTAGGTAAGGCCTGGGACACATGGAATAAGATGCTGGAAAGAGTCAGACCTTATCTGTACTTCTGTCTGGGTCCTAGGCTCCATGCCTAGTACATAATTAGAATGCTGAACTTACCAAGCTTTTTGCCAAAAGCAAAAGTTGCCAAGAGTTAACAGCGTAACAAGTATTTGAGACTACTAAAGAAACAGTTTTATATGTAAGGTGTATAAAGAAAGTGAAATGTGTTTTTGGCAAAAGATTATAAGAAGTCATGGGAATGTGGATTTTTTTTTCCTACATTAAAGGGTATTTTACAATTAGATAAGATAAAGCTGAAGGTTTAAGCAAGTTGGGGCAGATTTGTGAAAAAATTGTAAAAGAAATTCTGTGTGTGGCCATTGGCTAAAATTAAAGGGGTATTATTCAGTTTTTCTGTAAACTGAACATTGGCATAAATGACAACAGGTTTTTCTTGGAGCAAAATCCTGTTTATGATCTGCTCTTTAACAGAAATTGTAAAGGGTTATAAAAGGTTTATGAGAATCTTACCTTATGGTCAAACATTAAAATTGGGTAGATATGTCTATAAGGTTTTATTAAGAATTGAGTGTAAAATTAATAGTACACTAATGTAAAGGTAAAATTTGGCTTATTTGGTATAAACATCATACAGGAAGCATTGTCAAATGTGAAACAGTATTTAGCTTTCTTTGGGCTATATTTGCATAAATGTGTTATTGGTATGTGTTCCAAAATGATGGGAAACGCCTACAATTCTCATATGACTTAGTATAGGTCACTAATAGTTATAATTGCTACATAAAATCGTTGTATGCCACTGAGATAACTAAATTGCTTTGTCAATCATGTTTTTGACTGTGCGATGTTTTGTCATCCACAAACAATTGTTTTGTTTTGATCCTCTTCAAAAGGTCGTTTATAGTCAGCTATAGAACTCTAACAGGTATTCTTAAATGCAGGTTTCTGATAACTTTGGAGATTGTGATCTCTGAATAGAGGAAAAAACCTTTCAGAACTCTCATAGAGAGCTGAAATGTTCATGAATATCAAACAGAAATTAATTTTGTGGACTAAACTAACAGAAGTCTAAAATCATCTTTTTTAACTTGTTGCTTAAAATGTTGCTGATCCTTTTTTCCGCCCAGAGTCAAGACAACTCATCTTTGGAGCTATTTACAGCTTTTAACAATTGGGTAAAGTATGCTCGTGTGAACAAAATTTGGAGCATATTTGTTTTTTCTACCCAATTTCTCCAGAATTTGACAACTATTCGTGAGTGTTCTTAATTTATGGCAATATAGGTATTTGCAACAAGAAGTATAATAAGAATCTGTTTTCTTTTGCAACAGGACACAATTGGAGAAACTGATTATTTTACTAAGGCTTTGACTGGAATGGTGTGCTTTGAGGAATCAGACTTGATGTGTAAAGCCAATAAAAGTCCTTTGGGAAAACTTGATACTTTGTCTACACAGTCTCTGTATAGGGTTCCTGGCCTGTGGTAAGTAAAGAATGTCACTTTCTGACAGGCCCAGGAGCCCCAAGTTATCTTGGGACCTCAAGAGAAGAGAAATTTACCAAACTCTTAGGTATGTGAGGGTACAAACCCATGGCTGGGCTTGGCTTTAAAAAAGTCTTATCTGAGATTCCTTATGGAACAGAGTTCCATCAAAGCCAATTCAAATAGCCCATATGGCAAATAATTATTCTTGCTGCACCTTATACAAATAATCAGGCCAAGTATAATAAAGCAAATTGGCCTTATTATAATTTGTCTTTAGGATAAATGGGAAACTGGAGAGAGAAATATGTTTCAAGAACTATGGTACACCTGTTGTTAGATTCTAGTCTCATCAGCTGTTTTCAAGTTTGTTTCTGCAATTTAGGCTAACGCTGCTCATTCCTGGGAACCAACCAGTGATCTCTGACTGCTGCTCAGAAGAAACAAGAGGGCTAGGTAATGTGAAAACCAGAATTGATATTCTATTCAATTTTATCAATATTAATCAATAATTAATTTTCAATTGTTACTCTTTCAGATATCACCTTCTGTCAGAACTCAAGAGTTATGAATGACCCTCAACATACCAGTGCTTTCTGACTGAGCTCCCCTGTACCCTGAACACAAGAGACCCTAATAGATAGGCAGGAATATCATCACCCCTCTTCAGCCTGAAGATGTTACAGAAGACGGATCTTAATCCCTCTGCAACCCTAAGGATTAAGGCTTCTCTTATAAAAGGGATGGGGAAAATGTCAGATGCATTTGAACCAGAGCAACTCCATCTTGAATAGGGCCTGGGTAAAATGAAGCTGAGACCTACTGTGCTGCATTCCCAGATGGTCACGGCATTCTAAGTCACAGGATGAGATAGGAGGTCGCAAAAGATACAGGTCATGAAGACCTTGGGGATAAAACAGGTTGCAGTGAATAAGCCAGGTAAAACTCATCAAAACCAATATGCTGACACAAATAACCTCTGCTTGTCCTCACTGCTACACTCCCACCAGTGCAACGACAGTTTACAAATGCCATGGCAACATCAGGAAGTTAACTTATATGTTCTATAAAGGGGAGGCATAAATAATCCACTCCTTGTTTGGCATATCATCAAGAAATAACCATACAAATGGGAAACCAGCAGCCCTCAGGGCTGCTCTGATTATGGAGTAGCCATTCTTTTATCCTTTACTTTCCTAATTAACTTGCTTTCACTTTATCCTTTGGACTCATCCTGAATTCTTTCCTGTGTGTGATCCAAGAACCCTCTCTTTCGGTCTGGATCAGGAACCCTTTCCTATAAGAATTTGCTAAAGTGCCTACTTTGGTTTGTGCAGCTCACATGGAATCAAGGTTTAAAGCTGCTGCCGGGGCTACTTGCACTCTTCTTCCTGATAGGGAATGTGGACTGAACAAGCTATCACTGGTGGTTGCAACAGATACTATTCTCAGTTCCTCCCAGAAATTGCAAGCCTGCTGTGGTCACTTTCCTGTGTCCCCTTTCTAAACATAGCTCCCCTTAAAAAAGAAAAGAAAAGAAAAGAAAAGAAAAGAAAAGAAAAGAAAAGAAAAGAAAAGAAAAGAAAAGAAAAGAAAAGAAAAGACATTGTTTCTACTGCCTGTTTCAAAAGACATTGTTTCTACTGCCTGTTTCATCATAGTGCATAGAAAGTAGGAGTAGGGTAGAGGCTGGTATATGAAATGCCATCAGCTTTGCTCCTCCCATTCAGGTGGTCCCAGGTTTTACCCCTGGGGTGGCCAGAGATTTGGGCAAACATTATTCTGGGTGTGTCTGTGAAGGTGTTTCTGGATGTAATTAACATTTTAATCAGTAAACTGAATAAAGTAGCCTGCCCTTACTAATGTGGGTGGGCCTTATGCAAGCAACTGAAGATCTAAACAGAATGCAAAGGCTGAGTAAGAGGGAACTCCTCTGCCTGACTGCTGAGCTGGGACTCAGGTTTTCAGACTCAAATGGAAATATTTGCTCTTCTTGGGCTTCAAGCATCCAGCTTTCAGATTGGCACTCAGAACACTGGGTTTTCTGGTCCTTAGGCCTTCAGTCTCAGACTGGAACTACACCATCGGTACTCCTGGGTATTCCACTTGCTGACGGTAGTTCTTGGGACTTTTCAGCCTTTATAATTGTGTGAGCCAATTCCTTATGATAAATCTCAATCTCTCTTTCTCTATGTTTTTTTCTTACTGGTTCTGTCTCTCTAGGGAATCTTGACTAATATAATATCCAAATGCAAGGGGTCAGCAAAAGCTAAGACAATCTTAATGGGGAAGGAAAACGTAGAAAGACTTACTCTACCAGATGTCTAGACTTATCAAGACCTAATTATTAAAATAGCACATTACAGAAGGATAGACAAAAGACCAGTAGAACAGCACAGAAAGCCTAGAAATAGATCCAAATATATACGGACATTTGATTTGTACAAAGAAGGTACTGCAAAGCAGTGGGTAAAGGATGGTTTATCCAAAAACAGCATTGAATTACAACCATACAAAAAAAGTAAAACTTGTACCTCACCTTACACCATACATACAAATCAATTCCAGGTAGATTGTAGGTCTAAATGTAAAGGGCAAAACAATAAAGCTTCTAGAAGAAACATAGGCAGTGATCTTCATGACTATGGGGTAAGGAAAGACTGTTTAAACAGGGCACTAAAAGTACTGACCATAAAAAAAGACTGGTAAATTGGACCACACTGAAATTAAGACTATCTGTTCAACAAAAAGAGAGTGAAGAGAGTGAAAATGTAAGCCTCAGAGTGGCAGAATATATTTGACAAACATATAACAGAAAAAGGCTCATATCCAGGACATATAAAGAACTCTAAAAAACAATAGGTAATTCAGTAGAAAAATGAGCAAGAGACTTGAGTAGGGATTTCACACAAAAAAAGGCTATTTAAATGGCAAATGAACTCACTAGCAATCAGGAATATGAAAATTAAAACTACAAAGAGACACTGGCACAAGTCCATAAGGATGGCTGCAATGAAAGATACAACGCAGTGTGTTGGTAAGGGTGTGGAAAAAGGAGAAACCTCCACACTACTGGGAAAGGTGTAATTGATGTAAGTACTTTGGAAAATTTTTTAGTATTATCTCCTAAAGCTGAACAGACGTAAAAATGCCCAGATCTGGGCATTTTTACATCTAGGTGTATACTGGACAGAAATATCTATGATGTTTAATAAAATATATGCACACAAATATTTTTTCATAAGCCTAGGCTAATTTGTGTTTGAATCAGTTTTTAACAAAATGTTTAACAAGTAAAAACAATGTAATTTTTTTAAAAACAGAAGAAACTTATAGAATAAAAATATAAAGAAAGAAAATATTTTTGTATGGCTATACAATGTATTTGTATTTTAAGCTAAATGTTATTACAAAAGAGCCAAAAACATAAAGAAAATGAAAACATTTATAAAGTAAAAAAAAAATTACAGTAATCTAAGGTTAATTTATTGAGAAAAGAAAAATATTTTAAAAGTAAGTTTAGTGTAATCTAAATGTAGAGTGTTGATAAAGTCTACAGTAATGTATAATAAGGTCCTAGCCTTCACATTCATTCCCCATTCACTCACTGACTCACTCACAGCAACTGGTACTGCAAGCTCCATTTATAAGTGCCCTATACAAGCGTTAAGAATTTTTTTTTATCTTTTATTCTGTAGTCTTACTGTACCTTTTTTAATGTTTAGGTATGTTTAGATACACAATACTTACTATTGTGTTACAATTGCCTACAATCTTCAGTACAGTAATATGACATACAGTTTGTAGCCTTTAGGCTATACCATCTAGCCTAAGTGTGTAGTAGGCTATACCATCTATGTTTGTGTAACTACATCCTATAATGTTTGCATAAGATGAAATTGCCTAAGGAAACATTTCTCAGAAAGTATCCTCACTGTTGTAAAGTGATGCATGACTGCTGTGAGTCTACCTAATTTGATTATAGCAATACTCACCAAATGCTGTCCAATGTACTAAAAAGAAGTACATTATAGCCTAAGCCACTCTGTAACTTCCTGGGGTCTGTTTTCATCACATGAAGAACGATATCTACTCCTTCAGTTCCGAAAATTTCCTGTTTAAGATATTTGTTTTAAATTATTTCTTGAAATAAATAAATAATTCCTCCCTTTCCTACTTTATCGGTCCCCTAATATTGCTTTTTTACCAGAGAAATACAGCAACATTGTTAGAAAAATACTATTTTTACTGCAATTTAAAAAACCGTACTTACTTGTTCTCAGGAATTTAAAACAAATTATTATAAAATTAATCATTTTAAGAGGGGGCATCAATCAACATGCCAGCTTAATAATATCCCTTGATATTTTTTGTTTTATTCCCTTTCTCCTAAAAGAAGTCATAAAATTTGTACCTTGATTTTCTTCAATATTATAATCAATGCAGTCTAGCATTATGTCAGATCAATTCTTAGATAGTAAGAACTATCATGCAAGATTTTCTAATGACCCCGAGAGAAATAAGATATAAATGTAGTTAAAACATTTAATAATTTTTGTGAAGTTTTAACCACTTAATATTTTTCTCTTACTAATTACCTTTCTTATTGCCTTGCTGTTCAGTTCTGGTTCCCAGTAAGCAAGATTATGATTATTTTTCCAGAGGAGCCCAGGCACAGGGTGGTAGAATATGATGAGAAATTGCATCAAAGCTTGGAGCTAAACAGGCGTTCACTTAAAATCTATCTATTGAAACCATCATTTTTTTGTTTTTATCTTTCCAATTCCATCCCTTGCTATTTAACATTTAAATTATCAATCTCTGAGACTCAGAGTTCACTATGGAGCTAAAAAAGATAAAAGGGGATTAAGATCTCGTTCTAAATTTTGGCTTTGGGTTTGAACCCAATTCAAACCCCAAACAACATTTAAAATGGTACAGCCCACTCTGGAAAACTGTTTGGCAGTTTCTTATAAAGATACACCTACTTTATGATACATCAATTCCAATTGTAGATACTTACCCGAGAGAAATGAAAGCATTATACCCACTAGTAAAGACTAGTACAAGAATATTCACTGAAGCTTTATTCATTATAGCTGTAAATAAAAACAACCCAAGTGCCTATCTATCAATAGGGGAACAGATAAACACATTTTGGCATAGTCACACAATGGAATACTATTTAGCAATAAAAAGAAATGAATTATTGATACATGCAATGACATGGATATATTTCTATCTTTTTTTTTTTTTTTTTTTCAGATGGAGTCTCACTGCGTCACCTAGGCTGGAGTGCAGTGGTGAGATCTGGGCTCACTGTAACCTACCTCCTAGGTTCAAGCAATTCTCGTGCCTCAGCCTCCCGAGTAACTGAGATTACAGGCGCACACCACAACGCCTGGCTAATTTTTGTATTTTTAGTAGATATGAGGTTTCACCATGTTGGCCAGGCTGGTCTCAAACTCCTGACCTCAGGCAATCCACCTGCCTCAGCCTCCCAAAGTGCTGAGATTACAGGCCTGAGCCACCATGCCCGGCCAACATGGATATATTTCTAAAATATGATGCTGGGTGACAGAATCCAGACATAAAAGAGTAAATATTGTGCGATTCCATTGATATAAACTTAAAGAATAGGGAAAACCAACCTATAGGAATAGAAAACAGAACAGTAGTTTGTCTGGAAGTGAGTAGGGGCATGGCTTCTAATGGGATGAGGAAATTTTATAGAGATAGAAATATTCTCTGTTTTAATTGGGGGTATGAGTTAAATGGGTGTATACTGTTGTATATTCTGTACCTTTTACTTTATATAATTATGCTCTAATTATTAACAAAAATATTAAATTTTCACAAAATTAAATACAATTATAGAGACTTCCAAAAATAGTTTATAGTGTTAGGTGACTGGGAGACCTGAACAAAACTTTCACAGGCATACATACCTTCCTTTGAATGTGATTCTCACAAAGGCCAGATAGGATAAGTAATATATCAGACTGGATTTCCAAAACAATGGCTTCTTCCTTTTCATTAGGCTTGCTTATTATATTTTTAAAGATTCCTGGTATGAAAACATTTAAAGACTGTATAGTTATTGGACACTACTTTTATTTTGATCAATTACTGTTTGGAAATCTCTTCTAAAAAGTTTATTTGGCTAGAGAAACTTTTATTTTATTTACTTATTTATTTTTATTTGTTATAAAGAGACAGGGTCTCATTATGTTGCCTAGGCTAATCTTGAATTCCTCAGCTCAAGTAATCCTCCTGCCTCGGCCTTGCAAAGTGTTGGGATTACAGGCGTGCACGACCATGCCCAGCCTAGAAAAACTATTTTAGAAGAGGATATTTTCATTGCATAGTAACCTAGAGGCTGTGAAAAGAAGATGATAAATGAATTCCTGGAGCTTTCAATACAATCAGTAGCCCTACCTACATATATAGAATTTCTGAATGTAATCCATAGCCTCACATATATAGAAATTCTAGTTCAGAATTAACAGTATGTCATTAAAGGATGCCCCAATAACCTGACACTTTGCTCAGCAAACTGGGTTTAAAAATATGCAGAGTTTCATGAGGTAGGAAATGAGTGCCTTTGCAAATATATGACCAAATTTCCTGACTGTGGTTTGCCTAATCTCTTCCTCTCCTCATGGTTAACAGGGTCAATTCTAAGCAAAGGTGGCAGATCTCTTTAGGTGTGCTTTCTATTCCTGTTATTGCTTTCTGCATCTTTCCTTGATGTCTAACTGAAGGTGTTTTAAACAATTTTAGGTAACAGTATTCCATGTCCTTTAAAATCCCTCTTTTGCTTCCAGTTGAAATTGAAAAGGACTGAAGATGGCCACTAACACTGACGAAATGATATTCATGATACACTTTTGCCTCAAAAAGGATTTTTTTAAGCTTTAAATAAAGAAAAAAAGTGACTTTTTCTCGGTTAAAGGGGTAACTGGCATTAGTGGGAAAGTATGGAGCTATGTTCCAAAGTAGAAGGGCCATGGAAATCATAGCCTATCTCCATAACTGGCCCTGAGCGACTGACTATTCTAGGTCCCATTAGGATGAATTACAGGTGGGGGATCAGACCCTAAGAGAGGCTAGCTGAGCCTGCTGGAGGCCCAGTGCTGGGGTATGCCATGGACAGAGGGGCCTATATCGCTTTATCAGGAACATCTTCTGGGAATCCAGTTTGACTGGCCATAGTTCTGCTTCTTCTTTCTAGATCATAGCATTCTTCTTCCTACCTGGGTGCAGGCAGAAACTTTCCCTGCTGCCTGTAACACATAGTATAATGCTCATATTTATGTACCCTTCAACTCCTTGCCTTTATTCTCTCCTTGTTATAGATCATTCTATTTCTCCCAGTTTCTTCTTCCTAAAACATAACATTGTACATATAACCTCACTAATCAAAACCCTTTGAGGCTCTCCATGCCTTAAGAGGATGAAGTTCGAACTACTGTCAATCACTCAAAACTCATTCCATCTTGGCCTCTGACTATACAATTAACCTATCTTGTGTTATTTATCTTCATAAAACTTTGGCTCCTCTTAAACTAGTTCTGAACACATCACCATGCATATTTCAGGACCATGTCTCTCTGTTCATGGTATTTCCTTGCTTGAAGGCCTTCTCTTCTTTTCCACCTCTAAACTACCTTTACCTCACAGAATCCTAAGACTTCCTAGCCTTGAAAACTACCCAAGCCTCTTAGTTTCTGTAACATTTACTCTGTCCTACTCATTAAGTGTCTAATTGATGACGTGTAGGCTAACACATGCTATCTTTCTATGATACATGTAGTTTCTATTTTCTCATTAAGGAAAAGGTCCTTGGTGTCCTGCTCTATACATGTTTGTAACCCCAGTGTCTACACAGGAAGTATATAAACATTTATATTTTATTTCAATAGTTTTTGGGGAATAGGTGGTTTTTGGTTACATGGATAAGTTCTTTATTGGTGGTTTCTGAGATTTTGGTGCACCTGTCACCAAGCAGTGTACACTGTACCCAGGAAGTGTATAAACATTTACATTTAAAATCTAGTTACTACTTATTGAGCACGTTACTACTACACAGCCATGTTAGACTCAATAAGACAAGGTCCCTGCCTCTAAGAACTTAACATAAAGATCAGCTTCTTTCCGGTTAAAGGGAAAAGGTTCTAAGAAGAAAAAAACCATTGCTATTTGTTTTCCCTTTTCCCTACCCTATTCCCTAGTGCAGGCAGGATTAAGAATTCTTCCTAGACATATGAAAGATTACGTTTCCTGGATTTCCTCTAGTTAGACTGAGTTTTGTGCAACAGAATGTGCACAGGAATGATAAACTGTACTTTCAGGTTTGTTCATCCCAAACAAACTGGGCAAAAAGGTAAATGTTTTCACCTAGCTCCTTTTCAATATACTTTGATTTCCTGCTATTTCCTATATTATTATTATTATTATTGGAGAGCACCACTCCACTCCACTAGTGATGGAAGAGTAACCACCTTAATTTAACAAGTAGAAGATTTTTTGAGTAGGCATTTATAATTAATTGACATCTAGCAGATTATATAATTGACTAGTGAAGCAATCACTGAATACGAACGACTGAAATAGCTCTTTTCAAAGTCAAGGATCTAGAGAACTATTTATTTTTTAAATAACAAAAGGCAAAGCAGCTTTTGTTTAGGGGTTCTGAATTTTACACTGAGTTTATGTGTACTTATTTTATGAGATACTCATTAAGTGTCTAATTGATGACGTATAGGGTAACACATGCAGTATTTCTATGATACACATAATTTCCATTTTCTTTTCTAGCATAGTCAAGTGTAAGCTAAAAGTCAAGGATATTCTGATATTTCATATCAGAAAAGAAACTCCTCTGTACATTTCTGTAAATACCAATGTACCAGTGTTCTGTTATGACACATGCATTGGAATATGCCATGTTATCCTGTTTTAAAATAGCTCCAAAAGCCTTGGTCAAAAGTGGTGACCTTTATTACTAAAAGAATAAAACATAACAATAGACCATTTTAAAAAAAGATAAAGATAATCCTAAATGAAATGATATTTGAGTTGAAGAAATAAATGCTTAAAGGGTTAGTAAGTATGATATTTCAATAAGACACACTAATTTATAGCAGCAATATGAAACAAAAATCAAGAAAATATTCAGGAATTTCTCAGTCATAAAGACAAAATAAATTTTGGAAAAACATTTCAAACAAAACTACTACTATTAAAAATATTCCTCTTTCATCAGTAAACCACCATGTTATATTTTACCTATCATTTGCTGAATTGTTCCCTTTTCACAAAGATCTTTGTTTACAGTCTCATCTTCAAGGTAGACCACGGCTCTCAGGAGTCTTAAACTGTAACGCATCTGGGCAAACTTGTTGCCTCGGCCACCTGTACCATGAAAACTGTTACCATGACTGAAAAACGGATCTGTGGAGAAAAAGTGATAATTTAAAACAAAAACATTTCAAATAAAGCAAATATATCAGATATCTTATACATCTATCAAAAGTTTAAACAAATGTTAAAATTTTGTCATATTTGCTTTAGTTTTTTTTTAGAGAAATAAAATATTATCCCTTTTCCCTCTTACTATTCTCAGAATAGAAGTATGTGTTTTGGAATTTTACTCAAATGTATCATATTATATGTATCTTTTGTAATTTGCTTCTGTTATTCAACATGTTTATTTTAAAAATTATTCACATTGTCACAAGTAGATCTAGATTATTAATTTTAATTCGTTTCAGCATTCATTTTTATAAATAAATTATAGTTTATCCATTCACTACTATAAACTGTTACAATAAACATTCTGGTTCATGTCCTCTTATATCCATTGAGAAGAGTTTTTCCATGTGACCAGAATAATACAGGATACATCCACATTGAATTTTACTAAAGGTGCTAAATTGTTTTCCAAGGTGTTTATACAGATACAATGTATAAGATGAGTTAATTTTTCTTTTTTAAGAGACAGGGTCTTGCTCTGTTGCCCAGGCTAGAGTGCAGTGGTATGATCACAGCTCATTGAAGTCTCAATCTCCTGGGCTCAAGCAATACTCCCATCTCAGCCTCCCAAGAAGCTAGGACTACAGGTGTGTGCCACTATGACCAGCTGCTTTTTTTTTTTAAGAGATGGGGTCTCACCATGTTGCCCAGGCTGGTCTTGAACTTCTGGCCTCAAGTGATCCTCCTGCCTTGAAAGTGTTGGGATTACAGGTGTGAGCTACTGCACCTGGCCTTGATTTTCCCCCACGAAATCTGTTAAATGTGAAATGGTAGTTTATTGCTGTTAATTTGCATTTATCTGATTGCCAACAGGATTTAGAGTTTTTCAATGTTTTTTGAAAATTTGGGGTTTTCTCTGTGACATGGCAGTCCCTAGTCCTTGTATACTTCTCTACTGAGTTGTTTTCTTATTGATATATAGGAGTTCTTTATGAACCTGGATTCTAATCTATTATCAGTCACAGGGGTAATAAATGTCATCTCTCACTTTGTAAATTAGTATTTCACTTAGATTTTGTCAAATAGACATTTGTACGTTTTACAGTAGTTAAATGCATCGATCTTTTCTTATACCTTTAACTCATGAGTCTTTTTAAAGAAACCTTTCCTACACTGATATCTAGCAAAAAGATATTTTCCCATGTTTTCTTCTAAGAGTTTCACTGTATGACTTTTCATATTTACATCTTTAATTTATTACTTTTGCAATTGATTTTTAGAAAAAACAAAGTGAAGAGGTCTAATTTTTATTTTTTCACATGGAGGACCAACTGCCCCAACACCACCCTTCCCTCACTGATTGGCAGTATCATCTCTCATAAAGCCAACCTTTCATATATTCCATGCCATTGGTCTCTCCATGACCCAGTACCACATAATTTTAATTACTATAGCTTTATCGTAGGTCTTGATAAATAGCAAGGCAAATCCTCCCTTCTTTATGCTATGCTTTCTTTAAAAGCTGCTTTTAGAAGTAGCTTTATGTTTCTAGCTAAAAAAAAAAAAAGTTGAAAATACTGTTCTGAGTATTGCATGTTGGTTAAAATTGTGGGTTCTATTATAGAACCTGGGTTAAATTTTTGCTCTGCCACTTGTGGCCAGGAATAATTATTTAGCTTCTTAGACTGAGTTCTACCCATCTGATACAAAGGGATAATAAGAGTACCTATACCTCCTAGGTTTGTTGAGAGGACTAAATGACTTAATACTTGGAAGGTGTTTAAAGCTCACCAGATAGTAGGTTCTGAATAACTATTAGCTATCAGTCTTTCTCTTATTAGCCAGCATTTCCCCTTTTGCCTTAAAGTCTTCTACAAACATAAATGATATAAAGGATAGGCTGAAGAATTGCTTTATTCAGTGGAAAATAATTTTACAAGACTAAATTTAGTAGCTCAGCATATTAGAAACTAGAGAATAAAAAGCCTATCATTTTTTCCTCCTTCATGCATAAATGGGTGATATTCTTGATCTAATGAAAATGCATCATACAAAATTATTGCCAGAGCAAAATTTCTACCAGAAAAGAGGCAATATCTTCCTTATAAAACTTTTTAAAAAAGGAATGTATTTCTTATTTCCTTTCTAAGAACTAAAACAAAATACAAATAAATTGGGGCTCTACTAATTTGGTAGACCACACTGGAGTCATTACTTCTGGCTAGAGATCTAGATTTTAAGCTCCATAGAGAAAAGGATATTTATTTTAAGCCTAACTGTATTTTCAGTAGTTAAGACAGTATCTAGTACTCAGTAGGCAGTCATAAATATTTGTTGAATGAATGCATTATAATACTGCCAGACTGGGCAATATTGTAATTCATTTCAGGCTCACGCCTGTAATCGCAACACTGTGAGAGGCCGAAGTAGGCAGATGGCTTGAGCCCAGGAGTTTGAGACCAGCCGGGGCAACATGGCGAAACCCTGTCTATATAAAATACAAAAATTAGCTTCGTGTGGTGGCATGAACTTGTAGTCCCAGCTACTGGGAAGGCTGGGGTGGGAGGATCGCTAGAGCCCAGGAGGTTGAGGCTGTAGTGAGCCATGAGCATGCCATTGCACTATAGCCTGGGTGACAGGGTGAGACCCTGTCTCAACAAACAAACAAAGCAAATAAAATATTGCCAGCATTTATTTTCTTCCCAAATATAATTTTTAGATAGGTCTAATAATACAAAAATTCAAATTACATGTATGATTTCTTTCGGGTGTGCATCAACTATGACATTTACTGACGTCTGACTTTAAAATCTGTGTTTTTCTTAAAACAACATATAAATACATTAAGAAGATAGGTCTGTGTGTTTTTACTTCTCATTGCTTTAATTAACTTCATTGTTATTTCTATGCATATACTGAGCATTCAGTTGAAATATGAAGATTAGAATTTTGACAAGAATCTTGAAGGGCCACTCACCTTCACTCTCACACCATTCTAGAAATGCAAGGACTCGAGCATTTCCCTGGCATGACATGTATTCTTCTATTAATAAAGGAGCCACTGATGACAAAGTGGCAATTGCATGCAGTTGTAATTCTTCATGCTGTGCTGCAGACCAGTCAATTATTTTTTGCTTCTCAGGCTTCTTAACATAGGTAAACAAAGCCAAAATAACTTTGCCATCAATTAATAGCTGTGAGAAAGAACAAAGGATACTTTGTTAGAAACATAGCCAAAAATACTTTAAGGCAATTAAATAAAAATTTACATTTTGATGTTTTATTGGGGATTATTTCAAAATAATTCCTTTATAAAATAACCCCAATCTATGATAGGTACCAAAAAAAAAACACCAAAAATTAAATAAGTTATAATCCTCTTTTCTGAGGTATGTACTCCCTGACAATAATATAAAATATGTATTAATTTTTTGTTTTTGCTGCTCATATATGTAATGTAGTTCCTGCTTATAATAAAACCATAGGATATTTTAACGTATAATAAAACGTATAATAAAACGTATAACGTATTTTACTTTAACGTACAATAAAACATAGAATATTTTGGGGCAAGTGCTGACATCTCTTTCCTCACTCTTTTTTTAAAAGGAAATATCTCACAGACTCAGTTGTGTACCATAAAAAAGAATTTTGTCTGAGGTAATGACTACAGTGAATATTTAACCACATGCAACAGTACTTACATAAACATTCTACCAAATAAATGTCAGTTAGGTCACAAGCCATGTTTCATTACATGCCTAGTATTTTAAAATTTTATTGAACCCATCATTTTAATAAAAATGAGATTAAAATGCATAGCTATTATGACAACAGAATTAATACAGCTGATTCTGATGGATACATATTTATGATTCACAAGAGAATAAAACACCATATGCTATATTTAATTTTCTTTTAATTTGGCATTATTCTATAAAGATTTTAACAAAAACAATTAATTTTTCTAGTTCCTTACTAGTCCATGTGAAAAGAATGCAAGATTTAGAGTTGAGAAAACAGGAATAACTACTAGTTCTAACATTCTTGCTAGAATTAAGTATATAATGTTTCAAAAAACACCCCTGTGTATTGCAAATGATAGTGTACATATTCATTATCATTACTAGTAATATTACTGGACCACAAATTATGTGACACATAAAAATTGTTGATTTCACCGCTCACAAAGTGTTTTAAGAAGCTCCTCACCATAATCTGTGCTACTTGGCTCTGTTGCCTATAAAGTGTTGTTCAATTAATTAGAATTGACTTATAAACTGTAGTATAAATTTTATTATCTTTATAGGTCTAATTTTAATATTTATATAATACTGTATTGGAATAATAAACCATACTTTATGGAATAATTTTCCAAATGATTTTCCATTTGCATTTTGGAAAATACATTTAGGTTCTACACAGTATGTATTTTTTTGTCACAAATAATAAAGTTATAATTATAAAGACAACTTTTCTTTTCCTGAGCATTTGAAAATATATATATTCCTTAAAGTTGCATTACTAAGAAAATGTTCAGCTCAGTTAAATGCTCATAATAATCTCGAGGTAGGTGTTATCCCCATGTTGAAGTTGAGCTACCTGGGATTTAGAGAAATCAAACAACCCATTTAATGCCACATAGCTAGAAAGCGGTAGCACTGAGATTCTGTCTGACTAAAGCCTTTACTGCTAGACTACCCCATCTTTCTATTATTGGTAGTGAAGTTGATAGACTGAATTCCTACTTCTTTTTCATAGTAATCCTTGGAGCTTGGTAGAGTTTTAGATTAAATGGAAATTTCACTTAATGCAGTAACTAACTAAACAGAATTGTTAATAATACATTTACTGTCACTTTATAGTTTAAAAAGCCTTCATAGCAACTTCACGATAGACCTGTGAGCAGAGCTGAAGCATTATAATCTTTCCTTTACAGGAGGAGGAAATGAACCACAGATAGACGAGGTAATTTTTCTAAGGCCACATAGCTAGTAGGTGATAAGCCAGAAGTGAAATTCAGTTCCAATATTTTTCAAATTATATCACGCTGTTATGCAGGAAACAAAGTATTAAGATAAATTCATAGAGAGTAAAAGTGATTAAAGACATTAGGTTTGTGTGATGAAAAAGCAGGTTCATAAGAGTTTGAGATTGGCATCACAGAGGTTAATAATTTTCTCCAGCATTAAATCAGTCCTTGTTATGGTCAGAGACAGATTATTAGGCTGGAATGGGCCTATGTGAAGCTTCTTTCATTTTATGCTGTCTAATTCAAGAGATCTAACTGTATTATTAAATCTCTTAGGTTCTACTATTTTTCTCTGGTTTATGTGGTTTAAATTTAAGTACTTCACTGTTTACTAACAGATAAGCAAAGAAAAAATTTAAAAGCTAAAATTCAGGCCAGTAAGATTTTACTGCTTTCTGTGGTAAATATATGAACCGATAAAATATTTACAGTCAAGACTTTAAAATAGTTATACTACAAAGTAAGACAATTTTTATTGATTTTCCTGCCTTGATTACTCTTTACCTGTACAGTAGGTAAATCTTTACATAAGATCACAATTACGTTGAATAGTAATTTCTTCAACTCAAAATCTTCATAGGAATTAGAAAGCTTAAGTCCTTTTACCAAAAGATTTTGACTTTTAACTGTGAGGGAAAAAAAGTAAAATGAAAGCTTAAATGTTGTACAAGACTTATCAAGATAATTATAAGAAGTTTAAAGTTTTATTCTTTTTACCTTCATTAAAGGTGGCAAACAGTATCAAATCCTTGGTAAAGCCACATTCCTAATATAAATACATAAAATAAGCAGAAAGATGAATGAATAAGATGAAAGTTATGATGCAGATGCTCATATTTACTACTTAAGTACATTTATCAAATTCTCCTACTGTCATTCATTTGAATTCATAAAGCATGAATAGTAATAAAGAGTGAGGCAAAAAATAAAAACATATAGCCAGATAAGCTTATTTAAAATTAAATAAGCCAGATTTATTTAATTTTAAACTTACTTCTGTAGGTTCTAAGAAATATTTTATATTATTCTATGAATAGTCTGTTTAAAATTGTTAAGGATCCAAAGTATATTAGGTCTTTATAGTTACTTCTATAATTCGTTACCTATACTTCAAATGACACAGTAAGGGAGGAAAATCCAGTTATTCTCAACAGCTTTTCTTCTTAAACACTTCCACTTCTACCCCAACCATTCTTGTTATGTCAAATGTTTGGTCAAGAGATAATAAAGTAGTTCCTACTTAGCATGAAAAGCCCTGAAGAATCACCAGAGTTGCAAACATTTTAGCATATCAGCATTCCTGACAGAGATATCCTAGTTGGATTTTGCACATTAGGGAGAGTTTACAGGGGCAAACCCTGGGCTTATGAGCTTGTAGTTTTATAGCCCCATTACTTTAGGATCTATATGGTTTCTTTAGATGCTGAAGATATTATTTCCTTTGACTCACATTCGTGAAATTCATCTGAATGTTTGCAAGGACACTAATGAGAAATTACTACCTGACCAGGGGATTCTAGAGAAACAAAGGTCTACCTATAAGTTGCAGCTTTAACTAGGATACTATGTAGCACTGTTTCCCTATTTGCACAGCATGAATTCCATGACTCTTGGGACTACTTGACGTCCACTGTTAGTGGGCTGAGGTCGTCACAGCCAGTTCTTTGTAGCACAACTAGAACTTACGTGACTGACTTGTGAATATTGTTGCCAAGGATCTCTATTAAATAATTTCAATCATTCAATGATTTTTAATTATAAAATATGTGAAGGCTCAGCTTCTGGTACAGATGAGTAGTAGCTCCGAGAGAAATTCTCCTGCTGGTGACAAATAAAACTATCTTGTGACCAAGAGTAAGCAGACACTGGAAGGATGTCAGAATTTTGTAGAAGGGAATGGCACTACACGAGTTTCCCATTTTAAAAAAGGCTTTTGGGGCCGGGCGCGGTGGCTCACGCCTGTAATCCCAGCACTTTGGGAGGCCAAGGCGGGCAGATCCTGAGGTCAGGAGATCGAGACCATCCTGGCTAACACAGTGAAACCCTGTCTCTACTAAAAATACGAAAAAATTAGCCGGGTGTGGTGGCGGGTGCCTGTAGTCCCAGCTACTCAGGAGACTGAGGCAGGAGAATGGCGCAAACCCGGGAGGCGGAGCTTGCAGTGAGCTGAGATCGCGCCACTGCACTCCGGCCTGGGCGACAGAGCAAGATTCCGTCTCAAAAAAAAAAAAAAAAAAAAAAAAAAAAAGGCTTTTGGCCTGAGAGCAGGCCGTATTCTACACCTCGTGGAAATGCTAAAACTCAGAGTAACCCTGTGGTCTTAGTGGCCTGAAGAACCAGAGGGCAGAGGCAACCACAGCCATTGGAAAGTGAAGGGAGAAATCCCATAAAGGAGAGAGCCAGAGAGAGAGAATGCTAAATTCTGTGTACAAACTCTTCCCAAATATCTGGCTGATAGCTGAACCACACAAGTGCAGAGAATACTCAAGCATCCCAGGCAAGAACTGAATTAAGATTTGGGCTGCCATACCTCAAAAAGGGATGAGTACAGCTAAGTTAAATATGTAGTTATTAAAAATTCTTCAGAGGAGTATACCAGAATCTACAGTAAAGATGCTCATAATGAATAGAAAGATAAGAACTCTCAGGAGAGACACTATAAAAAGGAATAAAAATAAATTCTAAAACTGAAAAATATATCTGAAGTAAAAATGCACTGGATGAGATTAACAGCAGAATGGAGATGACAGAAATAAAAAAGTCAGTGAATTTAAATATATAGACTAATACAAATTATCCAACCTGAAGAATAGAGAGAAAAATGATTGAAAAAAGTGAGCAGAGCCTCACAAACCTGTGGGACAATATCAAAAAGTCAAACATAAAAGTAATCAGAGCCTCTGAAGAAGTGGGGAGAGAGAATGGGGCTGAAAAAATATTTGAAGAAATAATGGCCAAGAGTTCTCCAAATCTTCTCAAAGACTTAAATTTATATATCCAAGAAGCTCTATGAAACCTAAGCAGAACAAATACAAAGGAGATCTCACCTTAGCACATCATTTCGAAACTGCTAGGAACCAAAGATAGAGTTAAAATCTTGAAAACAGTGAGAGAAAAGGATGATATATTATACATAGGGGAATAACGATTTGAAATAATGGATACTTCTCATCAGAGTCCAGGGTGCTCACCATTACACCATGGAACCTCACAATGAATATTTCTCATCAGAAACAACAGACTCCATAAGACAGCAGAACTTTATCTTTGAAATGCTAAACAAAAACATTTTTCAGCCTAGAGTTCTATATTCAATGAGCATAGACTTTAAGAATTAAGATGAATTAAATATATTTTCAGATAAAAGAAAACTAAGATAACTTGTTGCCAGCAGCCAGTAGATTTGCACCACAAGAAATTGTAAACAAAGTTCTTCCAGTGAAAGAGAAATGATGCCAGATGGAAACTCAAATCATCAGGAAGGAAAGAAAAGCATCATAAGTGGTAAATACATGTATAAATCACACAATATGAGGAAGATTCCAAATTTCCAAAGGATTGCAAAGAAGAATTGGCAGAGTGATAAGCACACTGGTGACCATCAAGATATTACAGCATAACTTAGCATTACAAGAAAATACACAAATATTCCAACATAATATAGGACTTCTTTCACCCAAGCCCACCACTTCCACAATTAAAATTAATGCAATTTGATTCATACTTACAATCATTGGTGCTTCAGGATTTTGAGCTATAATTGTAGTGATCACTAATATGTCATTTCTAAGCTGACGGTCATAATGACTGAAACCTCTCATAAACAGATTTTTAAATACTTCCTTCAAAGCCCTAGAAAGTAAAATCATATTTTAAAAACTATATTGTTATACACTAAATGTTTGCGTCCCTCCAAAATTCATATATTTAAATCCTAACCCCCAATGTGATGGTTTTAGGAGTGAGGCCTTAGGGAGGTAATGAGCCCTCATGAATGGAATTAGTGCCCTTATAAAAGGGACTCCAGAGAGCTGTCTTGCTCTCTTTCCTCCATGTAAGAATACAAGAGATCAGCAGTATGCAACCCAGAAGAGCACCCTCATCAGAACCCAACCACACTGGCACCCTGATATCAGAATTCTAGCCTCCCAAACTGAAAAATAACTTTCTGTTGTTTATAAACCACCCAGTTTACGGTACTTTATTATAGCAGCTCAAACTAAAACACACACTTTTATGAAAATACTTCCTGAATGTCTATCAACAAAATCTCCCTTTTTATATTATACTATTCATTTGAACATATTTCTAATATTTTTTACACTTCCAAATCTGCCTCTAATCCTCTATGTACCAGATAAGAATCCACTAAACCAGTCTATTACACATGGTGGTCAAAGTGACAGCTCTATAACACATTCAATCATGTCATTTTCCTTTGTAAAACCATTTAAAGACTATTCTTTGTTCTTAGGATTAAGTCCTACCTCCTTAACAAGGCTTATTAGACCTTTCATGTTATGGTCCCTGATAACATTGTTAGCCTCATCTCTCACCATTGTAGCCTGTTCCTTCTGCTCTCATCATACTGAATTTTAGTTTTCTGATTTTGCTAATTATATTTTCACTTGTTTTCCCTGTCTAGGATGCTCTCCGCATGCAAAACTTTTCTGTTACCAAGTCCTGTTTGTCATTCAGTTACTAGACTTGAGTTCATTAGGAAGCAGTTATTAATTCTCCAACTCTGAGTTAGGTTCCCTTGTATTAATAGTAGATATTTGTTGCTTTGCCTCCTGGGACCTACTTGCCCTTTTTATAAGAACAGCATTCTTATTTTTATTTAGGCATTTACTCCTTCCTGACTTTTGCTCCTGTGAGGCTGCCTTCAGCTGCCTTTTCGCCAGTCAGAGCATTTTTTCTTTTGGCACTAATAAATCACTGTGGAACAGGCATTTGACCAATATTAGACCATTCAGGGCCAAACTGGACTCAATTCAAAGACTTTTCTCTGAGCCTTCAGGATAGCAAGGTTTCTCTTCTGCTTGATTTGAGGTTGAAATGATGTGATCGTAGACTTCTTAGGTCTTACTACATAGGCTTGGGTGTGAAGCCAGCACCATGGAAGACAATGTAGAGAGAGGAGGGACGAAGTCCTAGTATCTGCTGATCCCTGAATAAAGCTGCACATGAAACCAGTTTTATCCTTGACTTTGTAGTTAAATAAGCCATAAATTTTCTATATTGCTTTGGTCATTTGGGTTTTTAGTCACTTGCAAACAAAAATGTGCTGACTGATCTTCTTCTGAAGAACATGTAGCATCTTACAATAATCTGTTTCATAACATTTAGTATGTTCTCTTTTAGTTGTCTATTTACTTGTCCATCCCTCCTAGCACAATGTAAATTCCACGAAAGCAGAGACAATATCTATATTGTTTTCAGTGGTATTTCTATGGCTTAATACTGAAGCTGGCATAGAGCAGACAATTATTTGTTGAATAAGTGAAGAAGCAACTTGAAGGCTTACGCACATTTTGTTGCTAATGCTTACTGCAATATCTGGGAGATAGTAAGCACTCAATAATAGATTCACTGGATAAATAAATGAAATAGTTCTTCTAAAGTCTAATTTTACTTTATCTATATTCCAAGTTATATTTTAGTGTTAAGAAGCTACTTCAAGAGCCTTCCACATAGAAAAGTGTGGCTTGTTATTGTGCAGATTCATTTATACCATGGAACAAAAAAGATGTCCTGAAACATAGCCATTACATGAATCTAAAACATAATTGAACACAGATTCAAACAAAGATGTTAGTTATGTCACTGGCTGTCATTTTAAGATTAAAAGAACATTCCTATCTAACCACATACGCTTACAGCAAACATTCCAAGTTACTAAGCTGTTGTATGACTTCTTCTTTTGAAGATTTTTCCAGCAAGTTCCAAAGTATTTCTGATGAACGAAATAAAAGCTGTCCAGAGGGATCTGGGTCATTGAGGTGAGTACAGATTCCACTGGCTGCTTGTGCTTTCATCATTATAGTACAATTAACTTCTGAAAATAAATTTTAAAAATTATTTGTGCTTTACAATATTGACATTTTTAGACATAAACAAAAGTAGTTGACAATGAAGTGTTTAAACTTAATAATATACAAACCAGAAGTTGAGAGATGCTGCAGAACTTTAAGTACCCAAAGTTTCTCAACAAGTTGATTTTCAAGCAAGGTCATTGACTGGACCATTGTTTTTGCTAATCCTCCAACTTCAGCCATTTGAATCTTGTATGATGAACTCGCTTGCTGGTAACCTAACAACAATTCATTAATAAATACATACAGTTATCTCACAGAATGATCATTAAGACAAAAGAATGAGTAATTTATTATTAAGCAACAGCAAGAAAAACTTTTTAAAAGTATATGGAATTTAAAAATTGCGCAGCATAGGGATGGGCCACATTTTTTCTGTAAAGGGCCAGATAGTATTTTAAGCTTTGCAGGTTATAAGGTTTCTTGCCAACTACTCAACTCTATAGCACATTGTAGCAAGAAAGCAGTAATAAACAGTACAAATATAAGTGGACATGGCTGTGTTCTAACACAATTTTGTTTTCAGTAGGCCTAGTTTGACCTGGGACCCAGAGTTTGCTGATCCCTGGTGTAGTATTTAAAATAGGACGATGAATTTTGGAAACATCCTAAATTCTAAAAAAGAACAATATTTCTTGTCAGTAGATATGACTTTCAATAATGGAAAATGATTTAATGACAAATACTGAATGTTTTCACTAGTCAGTTTCACTGTTCAGGTTCAATGCATTACTTCAGTACTTTCAAGGGACAACAATTACGTAGTGTCAGCAATAAAATAAGAGGTGAAAAATGTAATGCTACTCTGATAATTGTGAGTGAATTTAATAGTATTTTAGGGAAGTTTGATTCTTGGTGACATGTCTTATAAAAATTCCTTCTGTCTTAGCACCTGTGAGAAATACTATCTCTCCTTTTGATGCAGGTATACCTAATTACATTCAACTAGAGGGATTAAATAAACACCAAAGGGTCCTCATTTACTGAGATGAGGCTTTATTTTTTCTTAGTGATCTCATTTATCTAACACCCTGACTTTTTGATTTTTGAGTCCAACTAGATTCTTTAACTTTGCCCTAGTTCTGAGGTATCTGTCAGTTTGTCTTATCTTTGTAAATATGATCTCTGGCTGTGGACAAGGCCCTGTCCAATGCTGTGATGAGCTTTCTATGATATGCTCTAGCTACTCACCTCATGAATTATAAAAAGCATTTAAAAAGTAAGAAGAGGAAGGTAAAAATTGCCTATATTTTCATAATCTAGAGATAACATTAACATTTTCATATATTTCTTGTGATATTTTTAATGTATGCATACAATTTTAACAACATACTAGTATACAGAATTTTATATTCTACTGTACTCACTAAAACTTTTATTGTAAGCTTTTCCCCATCCTATAAAGTGTTTTCTAAAATAATGATTTTTATGTGCATAATAGTCTATCATATGGATGGACCAAAATGTACTTTATACTTACTGTATCTTTTTCTATTGCAGGTACATTTTAACAGAGGGATATAACACCATTAAAGCTCATGGACTTAATTCCTGTCTCCAGGGCTATGTCTCTTTCAACTGCCATACTGAGGACTTTTCAGCCGTGGTCCCGGATGTCTGGCCATACCCATCACTTGAAACCAACTGTGTGATAGTGAGAGCACTGACTCCTAATTTTCAGAGACTGACCAAATCAACCTCACGTCTTTGCCCCATAATACTCCTTTTTCTTAAGTCCTACACCACTGGTTTCCCTTTCTTTGAAGGGCGTCTGTATTTTGCCAAGGTTAACTCTAAGCTTGTGCTCTTAATTCCATCCTCTTGTGCTTTCTTTGAGAATTTCACCTTCCCATTTCTTTCTTACCAGCTTCTAGCTCCTCTGCCTACAAATGTGATTTCTTCCTATCCTAAAAACAACAAAACCCAAATAACCTTTCTCTGACTTTGCACTAGCTGAGCTGTTCTCCATCTTCTTTCTTTTTCTTCACCATCTGATCTTAAGATATGTCTGCATTCATGAACTGCCACTACTCTCTCACTCTCAAATCCAGTGCCTCTACTCTCACAATCCTCTGATTCTTTAATCCTGCATCTGCCCTGACCACTTTATATCAATAGATCTGTCAAAGATTTAACTACAACTTTTCAAGTGTCACATTAACTTGGCCTTTTAACTCTTCCATTACAGAAAACTGCAGCGTTTGACACTGAGACAACTTTCTCCTCCTTTGTCAAATATTTGATTCACTGGCACACAAGACATGGCAGTCTTTAGGTTTTCTTCCTCCTCTTTGAGCCTCCCTTCACTGCCAATTTCTTTGAATCATTTTTTCCAAACCTCAATATGGACACTCTCCATGTCATTCTTGATGCCTTGCTGCTTATATGTTTTATCTCTTGGCAAACTCAACCATTCTGGTGGCTTCAATTTTCAACTCTATTTGGGTGGATTCCAAACCTGTATTTCTGGTCCTGTTGCTTTTAGTATCCAATATCTTTTATCTACCAAGACACTCCTTCCCCATCTATCTCATCAACAGTTCAAACTGGACATTTAATAATCTCCTTATTCATTTCTCTAGTTTAGGTGCTGTTCCATTTTTTTGTTTTACTTTTTGACTTCCTTCTGTTTTCCCTGAATTTCTTTTTTTTTTTTAAATTGTCTTTTTTTAACTGACTTCTGGTTCCCATTTTTCCTTAGTCTTAAATAATCTTTCTTTTGAACTACCACAGACACTTATTTCCACCTATATTAAGAATCATATAACTTAAGAAATTATTGTTTATATCCTCTCTCCCTTCCTAGATTGATTAGAAATTACAGAAACTATGAAGGTAAGAAGTACATCTTAACATTATATCCTCACAGTGCACGTGCCACTGTCTTGGTCCCAACCAATTCAGTGTGGCTCATTTACCACTATATATTAAGGTCCCTTAGCTATAACACATAGAACTATTTTCCCAAACAGGATGGAGAATGGCCCTGGCATTGGTAGCTTAACATTTAACTGAGTGGGGGCAGATATTATAAATAATTATAAAGTGTTTAAAAAATAATTTTATCAATGGTATTAAATAACATAATAGTAACATTTATAATTATTAATAAACTAAATTGGGCATCACTTTACAAATTTGTTCATATTTAGCATCAGAATAAAAATATGCAAATCAAAAACTGAAAAATACATATATAACTTTCAAAAGATGACCAAAGAGCTCAAGACTACAAAAAAGTTTTCTTTTTAATGTGTTACATTTATGAGCCCACTGTGTCTGTCAAATTCAAAGAGATATGAGAATGTTCTGTTTTCTACATACACAAGTTATCACTGAAAGACCATTGTAAACTTCACCTGGAATATGCTTCTTTGGTGGTTCTGCATGATAAAAATCAACAATACACTTACAAATTTGTATCCTCAATTCAGAACTTGGTATTTTCATTAAGTCACCTGCCAGAAAGATAAACAGGTGCTATTTAACAACACTGTCATAAGCTTATTTGTAGAATTTAGGCATAAAATGTTAATAATATGATGATTATTAAAAATATTCTCAGAGATTCAAACTGGATCATGTTCAATTTATATGCATATTTTTATACATATGCTCACACACATACATACATATAAACAGTACCCTGAATCCATCCTTATACATTTGGCCCCTCAATCAATTCAGCCTCTCCTTTCTAGGGAAGAAAGAATGATGATTATTAATACAAATGCTAGAACCAGACTGTCTAAGGTTAAATCCTGGCTATGCCATTTACTACCCATGTAAACTTGTGTTTTACTTTTCTCATCTATTAAGCAGGTATAACAATAGTTACCACATTTAAGATTGTTGTGAGGATTAAATTAGCTAATATGAGAAAAGGGCTGAGAAAAGCATCTAGCATGTTGTAAGTTCTACATGTGTTAGATACTATTATTATTTTGACAAGATATGGGTTAGCATTTTTCTCCCTAACTAGAGGGTCAGTAATTTTTTGCCTTTACTAATGCATTCTTTGCTTAGAGAAGTTCCAGGTGAACTTTGCTCTTCAGTTTGTTGGCAGACTGGAAGAGAGTGAGTTTTTAAGCAGCTGCCCCACATGCAAGGGTAATAGTTTTATGTTCAAGCTGTCTGCATGGGGTTGGCGAATAGGAAGGTTCGTTTTCAGTCATATCTAAACTACAATTAAATTGGCTTCAGCCTGTATTTCAAACTGGATTGCATCTACTCTGTTGAAGTCCTATAAACATGATCCCCAAGGGTATCTGAAAATGATCTGTGGGACTCTGGAAATGATCCAGGTTCTCTGAATGCCCAAGGACAGCGGTAGTCAGTAATATCGACCTTAGAACTAAACTAGAACTGGTTGGACTCTCTGAGAGTAAAAGAATAATTAGGAATTCCTCTTTTGCATTAGCCCTTGCAAGACGCTCATCTCTGGAGGTGGTCAGCAAGTGGGGTGGCAAGTGGAAAGAAGGAGGAAGCACAAAGGAAAGCCTGACCCTAGCTTCAGGAGAATCTCTGCAAAAGATATCACTTAAAAGACAGTTTTAAGATTATTCTAACTCTAAATTTTATTTATTTTTCGGACTGTTCTTTTGGAGTTGCAAAATCACTACTTAGGTTTTAAAACATATTAGGCAACAAGAACAACTAAGCTTTTCCAACAAGACTATCCAAATATGCAGGCTTATGGGAAATTCTAGGGTCTTTCGTCTGCTTTTCCACTGTTTTAGTTCCTGTAAATTTAGATAATTTATCATAGCTTCCTGTTTCATAATCCCAGGGCAGAGTACCAACTTCTTCCCCCATCCATTTCCAGAATCTTGCCTCTGAGTCAGAAATATCTATGTATCATTTGGAAGAAAATGTAATATAACTTATTAGTACGTAGTAGAAACTGGAAGTTCTAACTAAAATCATGAAGAGTTTTTGTTCAACATTTCATCTTATATACAATTATTTTAGTTTAAATTAATGTTTCCAGCCATTAAAAAAACCAAGAAACAGAAGAGCAGTACTCGCAGTCAGTAATCAGCGAAGGAAGCTCATTTAAAGTTAAGAGTTCATACTGTTGTCATATGAGATAGTAACATGTTCTGCAGGCAGGGTACCAGTCATTAAGCAAAGAATAAGTTGACACTCAGTAAAAAGTGAGCCATGTATTTATAATACAAGTGACTGTCAACACTCTTGGAAGCAATATTTAAAAATAATGGCAACAGGGGTATTTTAAAAAATAATGTTACCAACAAAAACTACACTTTTTATCTGTTAATACTACCATGTCCTCTTTTGGGTTGGCTTCTCATTGTAAATTTCTGCTGATGATAGAGATTCACATAATTAAAAATTCCCATATTTCTGAACCTGCCTGCTTCCTAAGGTGTTTTTCTTTAAATTGCCCCCTTCATGTTTAACCTAATCTCAACAACACCTTCACCTACTCTAGGATATAGAGTAGGTGAACCCTAGGTAGTTTTCCCAAAGTAACTAAAAACTATAAAACCTACTGAGATATAAAAGGGTTAGTGTCTATGTTAAAAATAAAAATCCTTTTTTTCTTCATTCCAGTTGAATCTCTAACATCTTTCTATATGGAGTATAATGCTGGGAACATCATTATTCCGTAAATATTTTTAAAAATGCACTGGATCAATTGTGTATCTTTTATTCCTCCTGTACAAATAAAGACCTAAACTAGTAAGTATAGATTTAATGTAGGATTTGTTTTGGGAACATGCCATCATGTCCCAGGAGCTGACTCAAAGAGCCAGTGTTTCCCTGATCTAGTTTCCTAGGAAATTGTTTTCTTTCTCTAGAAAATCAAGTGATAACCCATACATAAGTGCCTACCCTTTTATGATATTTTTCATATTTTTGTGTACAAAATATAGGCATCTGCATCTTTATGTGCATTATGCTGAAGTTCTTAATATGCTATTTTATGATTTGATTTAAAATTTTAGATCATTTAATGAATAATTCTATGATTGCAGCAATTCAATATTAGAGTTCAAAGTTGAAATGTTTTTGTGATTATTTAAAAAGGGTATGTACACTTTCTGATTTACAAAAATAGTTAACAAACACTTCATTAAACTAAATAATAATTCATCAAACTACATTATCAGCCTGTCCTTGTACTTAGAAGATGGACTTTTATTGGTATCACGAAACAACCTGAACAGAATACAATACCAGAATTATCACCAAGCACACTGTGATTAATTCACTAACAAGAGAAGATCCTAGACATGGAGAAGGAGTCCTCTTAGTGAAACTTGGGGAAAATAGATATTCCCTTGTCAGTAGGACCTGTCGTATGTTACATCCCTATACCTTAAGGAAATCTTAACTTACCCAGAAGTGCAATTGAATTAGCAGTATCTTCAGCATAAGTTATTTCATCCGACACTTTCTTTTTCAAAAATGGCAAGCTTCAATAAGAATGAAGAATTGTAACAGTAATTTTTAATAAAGTCTTTAATTGAAGCATCATTTGTAAGTGGGGGAGAGTTCATTTCTAAAGAATAAATTAATAATAATATTCTATTCTTTAGCCCTGGGGATTGACAATTATTAACTACCAGTTGTAATACACAGTATTACAGTTTAATAGTATTGTAACTATTAAAAATGTTTCTGGGGCCGGGTGCGGTGGCTCACACCTGTAATCCCAGCGCCTTGGGAGGCCGAGGTGGGTGGATCACGAGGTCAAGAGGTTGAGATCATCCTGGCCAACATGGTGAAATTCCGTCTCTTCTAAAAATACAAAAATTCACTGGGCATGGTGGCGTGCACCTGTAGTCCCAGCTACTCGGGAGGCTGAGGCAGGAGAATCGCTAGAATCCTGGAGGCGGAGGTTGCAGTGAGCTGAGATTGCGCCACTGCACTCCAGCCTGGCGACAGAGTGAGCGAGCCTCCATCAAAAAGAAAAAAAGAAAAAAAATGTTTCTAATGAACTGACCAAAAAGAAAATATTATATTAATTATAAGAATTAAGAAATGGATGTAAAAGGCATAGGTTAAGAAAGCCATTTTGCATCGCTTCATGAATAAAAAAACTTAGGAACCCTCTTTCTCTTAGAGGTCAAAATAGTAATAAATTATAGCTATAATTATATCAAAGTTAGTACGACATTGGATAATCTGGAACAAACCATAGATCTAAGCTCACCAGTAACTTAAAAACTGGTTAAGAGCTTTTCCTGAAATTTTCAAAACTCTAGGCAAAATCGATAGTTTATTCATTCTTAGAGATCAGTGCATTTTTGCTTATTAGCTGGGTTAGTAACTATCCACAAAATAACAGAATGGTTTTGCAGACATTAAGGCATTCAAGTTAACAAATATTAATTATATTAGAATCGCATTTCACAACTTCTATAACCAAAGTTATTTTAAAGTAACTTATTTATAAATCATAAAAGATCCAGCACATAAACCTGGGTCAGTCTAAATTTCAAAGAAAATATAAAAGTTATTTTTTAAATATATAAACTATCTTGACATTTCATGAGTTCAAAATTTGAACCTCCTGTACTATTTAAAGTACAATATATCCTATAGAGACAGGACTTTTAATTCATATATATATATATATATATATATATATATATATATATATATATATTTTTTTTTTTTTTCGAGATGGAGTCTTGCTCTGTCGCCCAGGCTGGAGTGCAGTGGCACGATCTCAGCTCACTGCAAACTCTGCCTTCTGGGTTCACGCCATTCTCCTGCCTCAGCCTCCCGAGTAGCTGGGACTACAGGTGCCTGCCACCACGCCCAGCTATTTTTTTTGCATTTTTAATAGAGATGGGGTTTCACCGTGTTATCCAGGATGGTCTCCATCTCCTGACCTCGTGATCTGCCTGCCTCGGCCTCCCAAAGTGCTGGGATTAACAGGTATGAGCCACCGCGCTTGGCCAATTCATATTTTTCAAGAAAAATTAAAGAAGTAGTTGAAAATGGTATTGAGAACTATCACATGAGGATGTATCAATAGCAATATACAGGCCAATTTGAATTTAAAGATATCTGAAGAGCAAGCTACAAAAAGGACAATTTTATAAATGCCACAGAAGTTCATTTCTAGTGTTTGTCAGAATTTGTCATTTGAAACAAATAATGTATTATATTTGTTATCCAGCTGCTTTTTGGATCTCTAAAGTGAAGGACTCTAAAACTAGTACTTTTTGTTCCCAAACTTTTTCCTTTTCTAGCAAAGGACACAATCTATAAGATAAAGCATCAGAAGAGTTTTCAACCAAAAAGTTTATGAAAAAATTAGCATTATACTTCTAATGCCATGAGAAAACCATACTACTTGGAGGCCAAAACGGAAAGGCTTGACATTATTATTCTATTTTTATTGTTTTTATCTTCCAAAAATGTCTTGAAAAGAGAAACAAGTGAGGGTGAGGCATAGAGAAGTTATCTAGACATAAGCTGAAATTAGAAAAGTAGAAAAAATTAACAATGTGAATAATTATGAAATATGAGGGAAAATGAAGACTGCAGCTAAAAAGGATTTATCATATTATACAATTAAACATTCAGTCACAAGTTTTCATAGACAATGAACTTTGTGCAGAGCTCTGTAGGAGCATAGATGTTGAAAGCAATTCTTATAAACTTGGCATTCTAGGATTTGCAAAGCCTTGAGATTTAAAAGTTTTACATTATATAATCGTATGTCAATATAATAATAATTTCCAATTTGTTCCTTGAAAACACCAGAGCAACCATTTATTTTCCATTGTACCTGTCTATTAAAAAGCAAGGCATGGTATAGGCATTCAATATATTATTTTGGTTATTTTATTCAGATATCAGAAAATACAAATTTAAGTGGTTACATATTAAATATTGCTAGTAAATCTAAAAGTGAGAGTTAGAACCTATCATGTATGCATAATTCTACTAAACCTTTCTATTATTTATATATTATTTGTATATTAAAATAAATAATTGCTATCTAAAAAGTTAAATTGGTAGAAAGGTTCAGAAGGTAAAATTGTCCAAAAGGTTTATTCCTCCCTACTACATTACATTTAGCAACTAAAAATGGATATTTTAATATATACCTAGATTAGCCACTATGTGGCACCAAGGAAGCACCATATACTCAGTTCCCAGAACTTGTTAGAGAACCAACAGTAGAAAGAATAAGACATGTTAATTTTACAATTCTTATCTCTAACTTACATTTTTAAAATATATATCAAATGTAATTGGTGATTTTTATTCTTCACTCAAATTTCAAAAATCAAATAAAACATGACATATATAACCTAATATATCTTTGAGACTCAAATTTTCTAAAGACAGAGAAAAAAACTAGACTGAAATTATAAGCATATCCATAAGTTCACTCAAAGATTTTCTGAAAATACTATAATTCCTTGGTTACATCTAATATTTAGCATTTACTTCAGAGTAACTAATTACAAGAAAGCATTTCAATATACTTAGAATTTAATCTCTTGTGGCTAGCAATCTCAGACCACAGCAAACTGATTACCTGAAATGCCAACTGCTGGAATCAAGTGATGAACTGAAGTTTTCTGAGTTCTGTAGCAATCTGCTACACTATAATGCATAGTATGTTTGTGATATAAGAAACATAATAAAATACTCCATGTTACTACAAAATAAAGTTAAAGAAAGATAACTTACCCACACAGTTTTATGATATCATATGCAGATTCTATAAAACGAGGCTGGTTTTTTATTTTTCCTGAACACAGATTCAGAATTTTAAATATCTGTGCTAAATCCCTTAATGGCTTTAATATTTTTAGTTAAGAAATAAAATTCAGATTAATATCTTTATTAACATATTCTTTATAGTATTTCTGTGAAGAAAGTCTATAGAATTCCAACTATTTTGCCAAATGTGGTAGATACTGTTTTAATTATTCTTATTTTGAAGTCTAAAAAAGGAAATTTAGAACCATATTTTTAAAAAAACCATTTCATTTTTGCCTCAGTAAATGCCTACTCAAAATTTTTTTCCTCTCACAACTTTAGAATTGGATTACCAACTGCTACAACACAGATTCAGTTGATCAATAACTTCCCACTGGCAATGAGTAATAGCACATTGAAAACATTAACTTACTGATTAGGCTCAATTATACCCTTCATCTTCACCCCCTACCCCTGCCCACACAAACATATGCTGTCTCAGAATAAGCAACCTAAACATTACTTTACTCCACTATTTTATTAATATTAAACTGAGATGCATTTTCCTGTGTTTAAGGCTTAAATTGGTTAGGATTTTATCTGAAACTAATATGAAAGCAAAATATGGACTTTCTAGATATTCAGATAAAAGCATCTTTTATTTTATCTATTTAAAAATCCTGCTGGCTCACGCCTGTAATCCCAGCACTTTGGGAGTCCGAGGCAGGTGGATCACGAGGTCAGGAGTTCGAGACCAGCCTGACCAACATGGTAAAACCCCGTCTCTACTAAAAATACAAAATTCGCTGGGCGTGGTGGTGCCTGTAATCCCAGCTATTCAGGAGGCTGAGGCAGGAGAATCGCTTGAAGCCGGGAGGCGGAGATTGCAGTGAGCTGAGATCATGCCATTGCACTGCAGCCTGAGTGACACAGTGAGATTCTGTCTCAAAAAAAAAAAAAAATCCTATTGGCACATAAACACATTTCATTGATTTTGTTTTACAGCTAAGAAATTATGGTAGATGTGACTTACACTTCTTGGTTGAATCTTATTACTCCTAGCCTTTTTCTAGGACCTTTTAGGAAAAGATGGGAGAGCAGGGTACACTGGAAATAGAAAGCTCTGTTAACTTCCTAGAGAAGTGACCAAGATACTTCTCTAACTTTGCTAAGTTTTACAACTTCTATAGCCAGCCTATGAGAGGGATTTAGAAATAGAGCCAATTGCCACCAACGGTTTAACATGAAGAAAAAAAAAATGGAGGTGTTGAGATGTCAGGTTAAAATAGGAAAAGAAATCCCTGCTAGTAGACATTTTCAGCTACCAGTAAATAGGGCTTGATATACACAAGCCCTAAGATGGAACAGGTCCAAATAAAACCAAGGCTAAAACATAATAAAAGATTTAGATTAAATTATAAGAAACATTTTCCTGAATGGAAGTCTTAAGAGGTTTTGAACTGGAATGAGCTAATATTAGAGCTTGATAACTTTTCTTTTTTTCTTTTTTTTAGAGACAGGATCTCACTCAGTCACCCATACCCAGGTTGGAGTACAGTGGCACAAACATAGCTCACTGCAGCCTCGAATTTCTGGGCTCAAACGACCCTTCCACCTCAGCCTCAGCCTCTGGAGAAGATAAAACTACAGGTGTGCATCGCCATACATGGCTATTTTTTTTTTTAGAGATGGGGTCTTGCTATGTTGCCCAGGCTGGTTTCAAACTCCTGGCCTCAAATGATCCTCCTGCCTCAGACTCCTAGGGTGCTGAGATTACAGGCATGAGCCACAATGCACGGGCTTGATAACTTCTTTAGACCAAGTCAGACAACTGTTCAAGATCATTTTCAGGGTGTTCAGTCTTTTGGATTCCCTGGCCCACACTGGAAGAAGAAGAATTGTCTTGGGTCACACATAAAATACTCAAACACTAATGATAGCTGATGAACTAAAAAAAATTATCAAAAAAATCATAATGTTGTAAGGAGTTTACAAATTTGTGTTGGGCTGCATTCCAAGCCATCCTGGGCAGCATGCAGCCCACAGGTTGAGGGTTGGACAAGCTTGATTTAGATGAATACTATTCAAAGTGTGGTCTATGGACCACTGTCAGTTCTGGAAGTATATTTACTAGTCTGTGACAAAATGAATACATAAAGTGAGAGTGGACATATAAAAACTTTTATAACAATCTAATATTTGTGGGATACTTTTATTGTATTTTACAATAGCATATATATGTAAATGTTAAAAAAAAATGGCCAGCTGTGGTGGCTCACACCTGTAATCCCAGCACTTTGGGAGGCCGAGGCGAGAGGATTGTTTCAGCTGAGGAATTTGAGACCAACCTGGACAACATAATGAGACTCCACAAAAAAATAAAGAATTAACTGGGTGTGGTGGGTGCATTCCTGTAGTCCCAGCTACTTGGGAGGCTGAGGTGAGAGGATCGCTTAAGCCCAGGAGTTTGAAGTTGCAGTGAGCTATGACTGCCCCGCTATACTCCAGTCTGGGCAACTAAGGCTGGATGGAGACTCTGTGTCAAAAACAAACAAACAAACAAACAAACAAACACCCCAAAACAAAACAAAACAAACTGGTTCTTATCCAAAGGTAGTGTTTGTTTGTTTGTTTTTGAGACAGGGTCTCACTCAGTTGTTCACACTGGAGTATAGTGTCAAAATCTTTGATCACTGTAACCTTGAATTCCTGGGTTTCAGCAATCCTCCTGTCTTAGCCTTCCCAGTAGCTAGGAATATGGGCACACACCACCACACCTGGCTATTTGTTTTTTTGTAGAGGCAGGGTCTTGGTATGTTGACCAGTCTGGTCTTGAACTCCTAGCCTCAAGCAATCCTCCTGTCTTGGCCTCCCAAAGTGCTGGGATTATAGGTGTAAGCCATCACACCTGGCTTTTACGTACAGATAGTTTTAAGACACACTGGTTTTCATGTATTCTGGTCAGGGTCGTATATTTAGTAGGGATAATATATTTATATAATATTTTGCAGATTATCAAGCACTTGGATGTACATGATCTCATCTAATCTTGCTAACAACCTCATGAGCTTCTATTACTTTACAAGGGTGGAGAGCTTATCAAAGGTACAACTGCCCATGTAAATTAATAGAAATAATGACTTTGACTTGGCCCTCTAACTACATCCATTGTCTTTCTGAATCGACAAAAACTGACATTATCCACAGTTACTTGTGTTATATTGTTTCTTCAATTTTATTTACATTATCTGATAGAAAATACAGTCTTATAAAGAACATAAAATGTTAGATATTTTCTGTGGTAGACAGAATAATGGCCTCTCCAGTATTTCTGTGGTAGACAGATTAATGGCCTTCCCCAAGATATCTATGTCCTAATTCCTGGAACCTGTAACTATGTTACATAGCAAAGGGACTTTTCACATATGATTAGGAATTTTGAGATGAGAAAATTATACTAGATTATCCAGGTGGGCCCACCGTAATCACAGGGATCCTTATAAAGGAAAGAGGGAGGAAGGGAGGGTCAGACAGAGAAGATGATGTGACGACAGCAGCAGAGGTGAGAGTGATGCCAGTGGGGGGAAGAGGGCATGAGGCAAGGAATGTAGGAAGCCTCCAGAAGCTGGGGAAGGCAAGGAAATGATTCCTTTCTAGAGTCTTCAGGAGAAACCAGCCCTGTCAACATCTTGACTTTAGTCCACTGAGGCTGATTTTGGACTTCTAACCTCCAAAACTGTATGATAATAACTTTATGTTGTTTTAAGCCATCAAATTTATGGTAATTTGTTACAACAGCAATGGAAAACTAACACATTTTCTAAAAGAAATTCTCATTTCAGAATAAATGAAATGAACATACATATATATGTAAAGGATACAAGTCCATTCTGATAACACTGTACCAGTTTCTTGACAAATTTAAGTTGTTTTTCTTCCAAGCCATCCTAAAACAGATCACCTATTTTAGTTCTTTTGTGCTTTTAAATCTGTTGAGATTTTAAAAAATTCTTCAACATAAAAGTAGACACTTTAAAATTATCAAGTAATTCTTAAATTACTATATTATAATGTAAACGTTATAAAATGTTTTCTGAAACAGTGAAGGTAAAAATAAACTATCAGAACGACTGTATGATCTAGCAATCTCACTACTGGGTATTTATCCAAAGGAAAGGAAATCAGTGTATCAATGAGATACCTACAGTTCCATGTTTATTGCAGCACTACTCACAATAGCAAAGATACAGAATCAACTTAAGTGTCCATCAATGGATGAATGGATAAAGAAAATATGGTCTATATATACAATGGAATCCTATTAAGCCATAAAAAAGAATGAAATTCTGTCATTTGTAGCAGCATGGATGGAACTAGAAGATATTAAGTGAAATAAGCCATGTTTAGAAAGACAAATATCACACATTTTCACTCATGTGTGGAAGCTAAAAAAGTTGTTCTCATGGAGATATAGACTAGAATGATAATTACAAAAGATAGGAAGACTGTGTTAGTGAATATTTGTTAGCAAAGTAGGGTGACTAAAGTCAACAACAATGTATTGTATATTTCAAACTAGCTAGAAGAGGGGATTTGAAATGCTCCCAACACATAGAAATGATAAATGCTAGAGGTGGTAGATAGCCTAAATACTCTGACTTGATCATTACACATTTTATGCATGTAACAAAATATCACAAGTACCCCATAAACATTTACAGACATTATGTATCAAAAATAAACTATTATTTAAATTTGATTAGGAAATTGGGAATCAAAACCAGGTTAATATAAAAGCAGTAATTGTTTCCAGAAATAATATTAACAACAGCTAAAGTACATTGAATATTTTTTCTACGTCATGTACCACATGGGTACCATATATACATATCACTTCATTAATTTCCAAAATGACCCTATTAGGAAGATACTACTATGATCTCTGTTTTCCAGAATAGGAAACACAAGCTGAAACATTTTAAAGTAACGTGTCCAAAATACACAGCTAAAAAGTGGTGGTGTTAGAAGACAAATTTGGAAAGCTGACTGTAGAGATTGTATTTTTAACTTCTAAAATATGCTCAGTGTTCTGTGCAAGCCAAACATCTTAAGTCAATTAAAAATGAAAATAAGCAAGTAAAACTTCTACACAGTGATGTGTTTCCATGACTGAATTCTGTCTGTCCTTTTAATCTTAAATGTTCCTGAAAAGCTGTGATATTGTCTATACTTTTTCTCTGTAGCCTTATTAAACAGCTAATAGGCACTCTATGCAGTTGTGGTTTTTTAAGGAAATGTAGATATAGTCACAATAAAAAATAACTTTTCACAACAATGATAGCCAGAAAAAGATAAATTATTCCAATAGTCACTTTTTCTCCTTTATATGTAAAAAAGCAGAGAATAAAAAATGTTAAAACAGTGACCAAATTTTTGTGCCTCCTATTCATAGGACATTGTTTTCTTTTGATAGGCTATACTATGGTCAACCCACTTACTTAAAAATTTTTTTTTTTTTTTTATACTTTAAGTTCTGGGATACACATGCAGAATGTGAAGGTTTGTTACATAGGTATACACGTGCCATGTGGTTTGCTGCACCCATCAACCCATCATCTACATTAGGTATTTCTCCTAATGCTATCCTTCCCATAGTCCCCCATCCCCTGACAGGCCCTGGTATGTGACGTTCCCCTCCCTGTGTCCATGTGTTCTCATTGTTCACCTCCCACTTATCAGTGAGAACATGCAGTGTTTGGATTTCTGTTCCTGTGTTAGTTTGCTGAGAATTATGGTTTCCAGCTTCATCCATGTCCCTGGAAAGGACAGGAACTCATCCTTTTTTATGGCTGCATAGTATTCCATGGTGTATATGTCCACGTTTTCTTTATCCAGTCTATCATTGATGGGCATTTGTGGTCAACTCATTTTCTACTTACTAACAATACGTATTCCTTTTTGGAAATCACCACATAAGTTCCTAGCGTGTGCTGGCTTTTAGGCATTCAGTCGATTCTTGATAACATCAGGTGGTATATGAGCATGTGTGCATATACATTTGTTGTCTTTTCTCTCAATGCCTGCTTTCCCAATTTTGAGTCTTGTGTCTAAAATAACTTAATTTCCATTACATCTTATATATGATTGTTCTCAAAATAAATTATCTATGTGTACATGTTTGTGTGTATCTATCCTGATTTCATAATTAGTACACCACGGTACCCTGTTTTCTACCATTTCTGTCCTCCAATCCTACTAGGTAACAAGCACTTAACAGAGGCTAGATGATCCTTTCTGTACTCTTAGGATTCCTTCTGTTACAGCCACCATGGGTTTGTCTATCTCATAAAAGCAAATCTATTCTCTTCCTCCAGTCTCCCCACTTCATTAAATATATTCATACTAAATTTAAATAGTCCTTGAATATAAGATATGTACTATTTAAAATGTTTTCAACAAAACGAGATAAATGAGACTTACATTTGAAGGAATATATGTTACCTTTCAGGGAAATAGTTTGTAAGTAATGCAGCGGAGTAATTTTCTCTCAAAGCTTACTCACTTTATCAGTCTCTTCGAGGAGTTTGATGACACGATTAAGGTCCATAGGCTTGAAAACATCCTAAAAAACATACAACTCTTACTATTCTAGATCATCTTCTATATCAATAAGTCATATCTAACACACTAATTTATATGATACTTTCCCTTGGTAACTTAAAAAATGTTTTATGACACTACGATAGTAAGGGGAGAATGAACAGTAGATGAAAACTCACAGGAATAAATAGATTTTGGAGTAAAAAACCCCTCCTGAATTCTAGTATTTTGTATAATCTTAATGTTTTAAAATTTCATCAGCCCTGAAGGGCCCAAGAAAATATTTAGAATAATAGTACTTCCATAAGTTGAGAAATAAAATTATCTTGTATACACATTACACTAAGTTTGCCTATGCAGATACATGGTAAGAGTAGCTTCTAAACTATAGGTAGGAGATTGCTTTTCTCAACTAGGTATCCCCTTATCTCAGTTAGTACCAGCATTCTTCCAGTCATCCACATTAAAAAAACAGGAACCTCCAAGTTCTACAGATTTTACATCTTAAATATTTCTTGAGTCCATTCCATCTTACTGATTTATTCAGTTTTTAGCTCTTACTTAATTTCAAGGGGTTCCTGCTGTTCTCGTCGACTCCACTCTTGCACCCTTCAACACCATCCTCTATTCTACCATCAGAACAATAAAACTGAAATCTGAACATGACCCGTCTAAACTATTCAATGACTCCCCATTAATGCCTCTCACATCTCCTCTGTTGTCACTCATGTTGTTACATTCCTATTCCTCTCCTTGGTTAATTCCCACAGGTCCTTCAAGACGAAGCTCAGGTGTTACCTTCCCAAAGGATGAAAAAGGCTAGAAAAATGCCGTGCTCTCATAGCACCCTAAGTTTATATCCATTAAAATTCCCATCACATTGTTCTGAAAGGGTCTACATGTTCGTTCCCCACCACTCCCTGCCCCAAAGTTCTCTCAAGAGCAAAAATTTTTTTGCTTTCAGGCACTCCCGGCATCCAACACTGGGCCTGACATATAATATTGTTAGTTGCTTAATAAAGATTTGGAAAATGCAACCAAGAAGAGGCTATATTATAATAAAGTTATTCATAGGTAAACGGGGAAGGAAATGGGTACTATCATCCAAAGTTTAAGTAGTAGACCGCGAGCACCCAAAGCAATCCTGAGCAAAAAGAAAAGACCTGGAGGCACCACACTACCTGACTTCAAAATATACTGCAAAACTATAGTAACCAACACAGCATGGTACTGGCATAAAAACACACACATAGGCTAATGAAACAGAACAGAGAACCCAGAAATAAGTCCCTGCATTCACAGCCAAATCATTTTTGACAAAGGTACCAAGAACATACAGTGGGGAAAGAACAGTCTCTTCAATAAATGGTGTCAGGAAAACTGGACAGACATATGCAGAAGAATGAAACTAGACTCCTATGTCTCACCAAATAAAAAAATCAAATCAAAATGGATTAAAGACTTAAATATAAGACCCCAAACTAAGAAGTCACTGGAATAAAACATTGGGGAAACACTTTAGGACACTAGTCTGGGCACAGGTTTTTTTGGGTAGGACCTCAAAAGTGCAGGCCACAAAAGCAAAAATAGACAAACGGGATTACACCAAGCTAAAAAGTGTACCCACAGGAAAGAAAACAATTAACAGAGTGAAGAGACAACCCAAAAAATGGGAGAAAATATTTGCAACCTATCCATCTGACAAGGGATTAATAACAAGAATATACAAGGAACACAACTCAATAGCAAAACAAGGCCGGCCGTGATGGCTCACGCCTATAATCCCAGCGCTTGAGAGGAGGAGGCGGGTGGATCATCTGAGGTTAGGAGTTCGAGACCAGCCTAGCAAACATGATGAAACTCTGTCTTTACTAAAAATACAAAACATTAGCCAGGTGTGATGGCGGGCACCTGTAATCCCAGCTACTCGGGAGGCTGAGGCAGAAGAATTGCTTGAACCCGGGAGGTGGAGGTTGCAGTGATTCGAGATCACACCACTGCACTCCAACCTGGGTGACAGAGTGAGACTCCGTCTCAAAAAACAAACAAACAAATACAAATAGCAAAACAAAACAAAACAAACAACCCCAACAACAACAAAAATGAAATAATCCGATCAGAGGTAAAGTATTTATGATGATACAGGGATCTACAAATTCTAAGTGTGGTTTTGACTATATTTATCTTGGGGGTTAATGCCTTGCTACCTGACATTTTATCTTAATTCAGGGTTATGTCACAGTGCTTACCCCCATTACAGGAGTTAAGCTCTCCCAGTTTCCTTTGTATCCTCTTTCCTGCTTTCACGCTTACTTCTACTTTAAAATAAATGTTTGAAAAGGTGATGTAATGATGATACAAACAAAAGCGAAAAAATCCTACTTATTCCTATCATGTAGTAAATGCATCTATTTTTATTTTTATATATTTTGTTTTTCCTTACATGCATAAGTATTTTACACAATTTCACTTAGTGTTAGTTAATACCATGGCAGCTTCTGAGTTTTAAATCTGCAATACATACTTTTCCATACTTCTACATAATCATTATTCATTGTCTTAGTTTTAGTATTTCCTTGCCTTTAAAAATTACAAATTCATATATTCTGATCTCAAGAAATTTCTTTCAAAAACAATTTTTAGAAATTAATCCTAACTGAGATGTCATGGCATCAAAAACAATTTGTAATGAAACATGCTAACTTTAAGTCTGTGGAGTAAGTATCTGAATGAGCTCATTTACTCAAAATTATATTTATTTTTATTTATTTTTGACATAGAGTCTTACTCTGTTGCTCAGGCTGGAGTGCAGTGGTGCAATCACGGCTCACTGCTTACCTCAACCTCCCTAGGCTCAGGTAATCTTTCCACCTCAGCCTCCTGAGCAGCTGGGACTACAGAGGCACACCACCCCATACTTTGCTAATTTTTGTAGTTTTTGTAGAGATAGAGTGTCGCCATGTTGCCCAGGCTGTTCTGGAATGCCTGGGCTCAAGCAATCTGCCAGTCTCAGCCTCCCAAAGTTTTGAAATTACAGGCATGAGCCAACATGCCCAGCCATTTTTACTTTTTAAAATAATTTTAAAAAGGATTTACTAAATACTAATCTATACCTGGTCTTATGTTACCATTAAAAATTGTTAAATATTACTGTTAAATAGTTAAATTTACTGTTACAAAAAATTTTGGTAAATAGACTTCTGCCTTTTAAGATTTGGGGATTTGGCAGTGATATCCACCACTACCTCAGCTGTCTTTTCTCTTTTCCTCCTACACTCTCAGATTTTATACGCGCATGCACACACACACACACACACACACACACACACACACAGTGGGTTTTTCTTTTCTGGTTTTCTGAAATATTTGTTTAGAAGGTTAGACAAGGATATTGGAATGAAATGTCAATGCAGGATTTTTTTTTTTAAGGCTAATCAAGGGAAGCAGTGGGAATGGAAAAGGAAGAAATCCGTAACTAGCTGTAATCAATTAGCTGTAAAGAGCACTGCACTTGGGCCACCCCAATTGCAGGATTTTCTTTCTAATATTTGTGTGTATTTTCAGATTTTTTCTCCAAATGAGCAGGTATAATTTTTAAAAGAACAGAGAGTAGTAAAGATTAAAGCATAGATTCCTCTTAGATTTATCTTGCATTATCCATTTCATGTTACTCTAGTTTTACCTGCTTGGCAGATTTTTAAAGATTTCTCTCTCTCCCTCTACCTTCCCTAGACTTTTCCTCCTTCTATAACTATTTATTAGTAGGTTTTTTTTGTTTCAGGAATTGTGCTAGGTGTGGGGAATAACAATGTCCTCACCTCATGCAGCTATTGGTCTGGCATGGGATTTTATAGAAGGCTTTGTATGTAACACAAGGATCTTAAAAAGCCATTGAATGGTTTGAGACTGAACATATAAACAAAACTGGTCAGACTATATGTGACAAAATAACTCTGGCCAACAACCTCTGCTGCAATTGGCTCAGAAAAGTCAGGATTTGGCCAATGACTGCCAGCTTTCCCGGTTTTTGTCCCTCTGCTTCCAACTTAAGACCAACCAGAGAAAGCCAAATATGCTTTCCAAGTCAATCACAGAGGATACCCTACTTCCAGCTAGTCCACCTCTAGCTTTCCCATGTCAGCAACCTACAATTAGAGTAGACCTGAAGCCTCCCCCACACCTTTCTTTTTACCACTATAAAGCTTCCCAGGCTGCATTGGAGTCTCTGCCAAAAAGTGATAGTGGCTGAATCCCTCCCTATAGCAACCGCTGAATAAACAGTCTCTGTTTATTGTGGTAGCCTTCATTTATTTCCACAAGATTTAACCAGAAGAATTTAATTATGAAAAGATCATCTTGTATGCTGTGTGAGACTGATTTGGAGGTAGACTGGGAGAAGACTGGGTTGGAGGTAGATTGTAACTTTGGGCCTTGAATAGGTAGCAGCAACTGGTATAGACAACAGCAAATGGAATTAAAAACATCAAGAGGTAGATTCATCAAGACCTAATGAGTTACTGGACGCAGTGGGAGAAAGAAGGAAAAAGCTGAAGACAATTCCCTGGCTTGAGGAATTACATAAATGATTTCACCATTTCCTGAGACAGGGAATGCTGGAGGAAGAGGTTTGTGTTGGGGGTTGGAGATGAGAAAAATTTGGGGCAGAGGTTTCTGAATCATAGGCTTAACGTGACAATTGAAGATTTTGGGTAAATGAGATCACACAAGCAGAGAATAGAAACAAAACAGAACATACATATGTAAATACCAAAATACTATCATCTTAAGATGTTTATGGAGAAATTGTAAAAGCATTCACAAAACCTTTTAAGATCAAAAGTTTAATAAATTGCTTTGAAGACAATCAGACTTACTTCATTCAAATTATAGGATGAACTTATTTCCCACTTTACCCAGGGACATTTCAGAGGGAGAAACCTGCTCATTTGATACTCAGTTACAGGGAAAGAGACTAACACTTATAGTGGTCCTTTCATGTGTCTGGCATTTTTGATCTCAATTAGTCTTCAAATCTACCAAGTAAAGGTAGCACTATTATCCCTCTTAATGAAACTGAGGCCCTGGGACCTAACTTGTTAAAGCCACGTAGCTATTAATAATAAATGGGCCAGCAGGTCTGTCTAATGTAGAAACTCTGGTTCTTTGTTCCTTAGTTCTCTGCCTGACTCCTCAATGGACAACCAAGGAGTCTCTCTCTCTCTCTCTCTCTCTCTCTCTCTCTCTCTCTCTCTCTCTCCTCTCTTTAAAGAGTGGGGGTCTCCCTATGTTGCCCAGGCTAGCTTTGAATTCCTAGGCTCAAGCGATCCTCCTGCTTCAGCCTCTCAAGTAGCTGGCACTATAGACACATGCAGCCAACTACAGAGGTTATTTCTTGCAAAAACCCTATAAACAAGGCTAGACAATTTTAAGCACACAGTTCATGGAAGTATTACTGACAGTGACAGGATATGATATCAACTAAAAGATTGTGGAAGTTCTCATGGGTTCTCAGAGGGAGAGCAAATTTGAGCAAGGAAGTTCAGGCATGATACCTACGCCAGTCAACTAATCATTATATTAATTGTTATTCAAAGTGGGAAATGAGGTCCTCCAACTAGCAGCACAAGCATCACCTGGAAACCTGTTAGAAAAGCGGAGTGCTGGGGTTCATCTAAGACCTACAGAATCAGAATCCACATTTTAATAAGATCCCCATGTGCTCCATATGCACATTAAAATTTGAGAAGCACTGCTCTAAAGGGGGTTGGGATACTTTAGAATGAGGGGAACAAAACTAAATAGAAAATAGATAAATTAGATATCTTGTGATTTCAACATATGATTAAGGTGAATTTCACTGCCAATCCCATCACTCTCCAGGGGATAAAGCACCCTTTAAACTACATTACCTCTACCTTCCTGTAGGAAGCCAGAGCCACATAAACACTGGGATTAATACTAGAAAAACAATCTGAGAACTATCTTCCTATTTGGTAGGTTTTGATACCCAGTGTATTAGTCTGTTTTCACACTGCTATGAAGACACACCCAAGACTGGGTAATTTATAAAGGAAAGAGGTTTAATTGACTCACAGTTCCACCTGGCTAGAGAGGCCTCAAGAAAAACAGTCATGGCGGAAGGCAAAGGGGAAGCAAAGACCTCCTTCACAGGTGGCAGGAAAGACAGAGAGAGAGAGAGCAAAGAGGAAGAACCTCTTATAAAACCATCAGATCTCGTGAGAACTCACTATCATGAGAACAGCATGGGGGAAATCACCCCCATGATCCAATCACCTCCCACCAGGTCCCTCCCTCAACACCTGGGGATTACAATTCGAGATGAGATTTGGGTGGGGACACAAAGCCAAACCATATAACCCTGTAAATATCATCTGAATTTATTTAATAATTTAATAAAGCTGTTATGACTAGAGTCATTAATAATAGCAGAAAGTTACCATTTATGGGGCACTTGGAATGTATGTGCTGGGCACTGTGCTAAATGCCTTACAAATACTTTAATTCTCACAATAATTCGATGAGGTAGGCATTTCTAAAAATATCTTTTACAGATGAGGAAACAGACACAGAAAGGGCAAGCAACATGTCCTAAGTTCCTCACAATTAGAAAATGGCCACCAAAATTCTGGTACTATTTTATTGTTTCGAAACTGGAAAAGTATGATAATCACTTTAAAAAAGAAGACGCTGGAATCACTACAGTAGGGATTATCAAAATTTTTATAGAGAGAAAATTTGAAGATATAATGTTTACATAGAATATGTCTATGAGAAGTTCACAACATGGAATGAAAATAACAATTCAAAATCCCAGATTCCTAAACTATTGTTTTCCCTATTTACTAATAACTTTACTCATAATCTATATTTACATTTTCCATAATTCTATCAGAGAACATTTCAAAGTTATTAAAGTTAGAAAAATCTAATACTCTGTGAATATCATTTGTAGTAGCTTAGATAGAATTTATAGGCGCTATTGCCTTTTACAAAGTTATTTTTGTGAAAGATGCAGGAAAAAAATACCACTTAATGCAGAAGTAAAGCATACACACAGAAAAATCAGCAAAATAACCCGTACATTTTACCTGCTGCCTTAGGCAGCAATATTCAAGCCTATTTCTTTAATTACTAAAAACTAAGGTTAGGGTAACTGAAAGGTTCAATTTAGGTCTGTAATAAAGAAAATGATATAAAACAGCTATCAAAAGCCCAGGTAGCCAAAGTAGCATTTCTATATTAGGAAATCCAGCTGCAACTTAGAAACATCTCTGAAGGGATAAAGTGAGCAGACCGAAATCTGCATTAAAGCAAGTAAGATTTCAGGGGCATCCAGTCTCACTCTCACATCCTGGAAGCCAGTGGGAACAATCAGAATTCTAGAGAATCCCTTAGCTTTAAGGCCCAAATAACTTTATGAGCTCTAGTTCCCTGGATAAAGGATGATGACAATGACAATGATGATGTTGATAACTGCTTGTTTTCAATTATATATATAGGTCTCTCTATAAGTTCTCTATATTATTGTATAAGTTTGCTTATATATTATTTCTTTTTGTTTTGTTTTGTTTTGTTTTTTTGAGACGGAGGCTCACTCTGTCGCCAGGCTGGAGTGCAGTGGCACAATCTTGGCTCACTTCAACCTCTGCCTCCCATGTTCAAGTGATTCTCCTGCCTCAGCCTCCCAAGTAGCTGGACTACAGGCGTGCATCACCATGCCCACCTAATTTTTGTATTTTTAGTAGAGACGGGGTTTCACCATGTTGGCCAGGATGGTCTTGATCTCCTGAACTCGTGATCTGCCCTCCCCAGCCTCTCAAAGTGCTGGGATTACAGGTGTGAACCACCACACCCGGCCTATATATATTATTTAATTTAATCTTTACAATGGACATGAGTACTGTCATTATCTCCATTTGATAGAAAGGTTAAGATACTGGTCTTTGGTCACATAGCTGGTAAGTGATGAAGCTGACAATGAACTGAAGTAGTTGTGATACTCTCACCTTTAGCCACTAGGATATACTGTCTCAGAAGCACACACAGGCAGAAGAGAAGTTTGCAAATGTGCAGTGGTTTGAAAGAACTGGAAACAGTTCCCAGGATCTTTCCTAAACTGGCCTAAGGCAGAGGCCTAAAAGGTTATCATTTTTTCGTTCCAGGGTCTCTAGACCCCCATTCTATGAGTAAAGAAACTGAGTAACTCAGTTAACTTCTCATGAACTTAGGGTTCTCATTTGTAAAAACAACCACAGGCAAAAAACAAGAAGGCTGAGGATCACTAAGATTTCTCCCAGCTATAAAAAGTTCCTATTCTATTTCTTTGGGGAGAAACTACCTTTTTCCTCAGTACTTCGAAAATGTTACTACTCTTAGAATTAGTAATTAACAAGTCAGAAACATGAATTAATGCAAATTGATTGCTTTCTTCTTGGAAGAGAATCCTAGGCCCTGGAAAGAGCAGTAGTAATGAAAGAAAAGAAAGAAAATTAAAATGGGGAGAAAATGCACACACATATACACAGGTATACTTGTTTCATTTGGTATGTTTTGGACTATTTTGGCAATGGCTTTTAAAAAGTATTTTTCCCTAAAAAAAAAAAAAAATCCACGCTTGCTTGCCTTGTATAACGTTGCCCAATTTTTCTTGGAGCAAGTAAAGGAAGACTGAGAGCCATCAGTTATCAAATTCACATACTTTTCAGTTTTGCCCCTTGCCTGGGAGTATGGCTGTATTGTTGATCTTTCTTGCAGCCCAGGGAGTGGAGAGCTATTGTTCCTCAAAATTCTCCCCGCCCAGAGGGGAATAGGTCCACAAAATCGATTAGGCAAATTCCCCTAACACCTATTTCTCCTCATGCAAAATGCTGTTGCTCCGCAGGTTACTGCGTAAATGTCAGACCTCAGAGAGCTCAACTCTATTCCCCAGTCAACTGACCACTCCCAAGGAACTCTCCAAGGCTCCAGGATGTGAACGCAAGAGACAGGGTTCCTGACGCAGCCTGAGATTTGAGAAGCCTCAACAGGAATTCCCACAGTGGCCCCACACCATTAGTGTGAGGCAGGACAGGGTTCCTCCAGGAATTCGCGGCTTTTAAGGCACGATCAGGGCTCTCTGGGGGATCAATGGAATCCTAGTAGGAAACAAACAACTTGGGGTTTCTAAACACCTCCGCCTCGAATAGAGATCCAAGGGCCTCAAATGGAATTTCTCAACAGATCAACTTCCAAGAGTGAATTTTGTATTCATAACAAAAGCAAACCCAAAACCAAATACAGTACAAGCATAATAAAACAAATCAACTCTATTCTCTCCCGGTTCTCTCCGACCCAACGTGTAACAACCAGCTTCCAATTTCATATTTTAAAAATGCTTAATTTCTAATTTAACAGCGTTTTCCTCCCCTCTGGGTGCAGGCTTTAGTCGCAGCAAATTTAAGCATGGGAAAATTTACATCTATATCAAGAACATCACTCGGTAACAGGGATCTACGTATTAAAAAGTTCAGTTCAAACTGATCAGGTCATCAAATCAAGATTTTGCTAAGAATGATTCCTTTCCTCCCTGTAGCTCTATGACCACTTTTCGAAGAAGCGCGGCAAAACCCCGCCTACTCAGTTTGCTAGGACCCTCCAGGAGGACCACACAGCGCTGGTCCCCAGACAGGATGGTTGACAACAGCCAGCCCCTCGCAACCGGTGCAGTTCGCAGGGGGTGGGGGATCAGGATTAGCTCTGCGCTTGGAATCTCCATCCCGCGGCTTCCCCCATCTTCACTCCTGTCCCCAGTTCCACCCTTGCCACCCCCAGGTCTGGACCCCGTCTCGAGACTTCACTCCCACCCCCTCCACCTCTGAAAGCACAGACACCTGCTCATACCTGCGCCTCATCGTCCTCCGTCACCACCCCAACCACCGGGATTTGACTGGAACTGCTAGACTTGTTCCTGATGCCGGATTCCTGGGCCTCGGCGGTCGCCCCGGCTTCCTCTGTCCACATGGCCGGTGGCGGCGGGGTGGAGAGTGGGGGGATCTTCCTGTCCTACAGTGCGCCCGCAGCCGCTGGGCCCAAAGAGGCCCCGCCACCGAGAAGGGAAGGCAGCCTGAGAGTCGCTAGAGTCGCGAAAGGTCCCAAAATTCCGCCAGGGGCCTAGGCCACCGCCATACAGTCCGCTTAGCGCCGCTGCCGCCCCCCAGTTGACCCAGACCTCTGATCCCGGGCCGGTTGTTAACACAAGCCAGCGCGTTGCTAGGGGGCGGGGCCAGAGGCTACGGAAAGCCGGAGAGCCAAACCACCCCAAAGCCTAATTGCACTCCGCGCCCGGCAGGGCGAGTTTGCAGGCTTGCGGTAAGGAGCCTGCAGGATGCACCTCGGTAGGTAGCGGGGAGTGGTGCCTTAGGCTCCCGGTGTGTTTCGGTCTTCATAGTCTTGCTTCAAACAGGCATGAGTGGGTGGAGGGGTGAGGGATGTCTATGGGATACGTTAGGCGTGATACGATGGACGGATAGTGTTGAAAGCGTTTCTCTCACCCCAGGGAAGTGACCAGTCTCGCTTACATTCCCCAGCTTTTATCTGTACTTTAGTGGCCCAACTGGACAGTTAAATAAACAAACATAAAAGGTATTGTACAGAATGTTAAAAGGCTTTTGAGTCAGTTTATTGAATCTAGAGCGAGTTATCCCTTGAAGTCTCACTTTTCTCATCTGTAAAATAGGACTGTTGTGAGGATTGAATGAGATGACAGTGTTTGTTAAGTGGTGCTTGGCACAGCATCCCGTATGGTCAAGATTATCATTATCTTTATTACTGTTTGAGAACTAAAAATTAAATCCTAAGCCCCACAACCGACTGAACGGACCCCCTTTTGGCCAAGAGGACCCCCGATAAACCTTAAAAGCTGAATTCCTCGCCCTGACGGGACGGAAGGACGGACACGCCTCGCTATACCCCCCTACCTCCTCCCTTTTCACGTCCCCCTCACCCCTGGTTTTTTGAGACAGGGTCTCACTGTGTCCCCCAGGCTGGAGTGCAGTGGCAGGATCGTAGCTCTGCAACCTCCAACCTCTGGCTCAAACGATCCTCCCGCTTCAGCCTCGGGAATAGCTGGGAGTACAGGTGCACATGCCACCAAGCTCGGCTCCCCCTCCCTTTGAGGGCTTAGACTCAACAACTGACCAGCATTAATGTTAAAATGGAGATCAGAAGGCTAACAGAATGGACTCTGTGGCAATAACAAATTATAAGCAAGACCTAAGGCCATGCCAGGCAAGAGTTAAGTCACTCACACCTACACTTAAAGAATAACCTTTGTTTTAACTGCTGCAATGTTTTTATTTTTCTCTAGCTGTTAAATAAGAACTGCCCTCGACATAAGCAATATTGAAATAATTGCAGCTCATCCATGGCCAGATGTTGACTAACAAGACCCTCCTGTTCCACAAGTCATAACTGCAGGTTTGATTGGACAAGGGACCGATTCAGTAACTTTCCCCTGATAAAAGACCACCCACTATGGACTGGTTCTGGCAGGTTTACAGAGACTGAGCACTAGTACATTCATGTCTCTGCTTCTCCTTTTGATGTATAGGGACTGTAATGCATTTAAATGTTAAGTTTCCACTCCACAGTGAGCATGGGATGCATGTCACATGCATGTTTATTCAGCACCCCTCTTAGTGAAGATTCACAGCTCTTCTTACAATCTGTTGAATATGTCTGTTTAGCCAACTCATTCAGCATAAAGCTTCTGCTCCAACCCCACCTCCTTCAAAGTGCCTGTTGACTGTCTCTGTGGGAGCCTGGGCTTCCCAGCCTGCAGAATGGCCAGCCTGCAGGTTGTAACTCATTATAAGAAACAAAGTCTCCTTTCTAAATTTATAGATCTTATGATTTTTCAGTTGACATGTTGTTGCCTATCCATTGTAGACTGAATAATAATACAAGAAGGGTCAAGACTATAATGGAAAGCTTCTCATGATGATCATCAGTATAATTTAATAACTCAAACACCATAACTGAAAATTTAAAAAACTCTAACTCTTTTAATCTGTTTTTTAAACTTTCAAAAATTATTCAAGATTTAAACGTGCATTTTTGTATCTTCCATAGAATTTATGAATTTAAAATTACATATAAATTCAATGAAAATAAATATTACTTCACTTCTCAGAGCTTCTCTCCTCATTTCTAGAATGAGGTTGATAAGTGATTTTGAAGGTTCCTTCTGCCTCAGACGTTGAATATTTCTGGCCCTAAAAGAAAAATGGTAACACTAGATTAGGACTGGCAGCATTTGATTGTAAATCCTAGCCGAAGAGACCAAGTTTTGTTGAGAGTAGTGAGCATTTCTAGCACCTGTTTCCACACTTCTAGTCATTCTTCCGCTTTTCTCATCCTCAGCCCTCTGAAACTGTGAGATCACCAACACTTGGGGTCAAAGTCTATTAACATTTTTCAGTTCTCATCCTGTTATACTAGTCTGTAGTATTTTACACTGTTGACCCCTCTCCTCTTTTTACAACCCCCTTGCCTAGGCTTCCACATTCTTTTTGTTTTTCTTTCATCTCTACAGCTACTCATTGGTATCTTTATGGGCCCAGCATGCTTCTGCTGCACCACTCTGCTGCCTAGCTACTGATAGATATCTTTAGAACCATTCTTAGGCCTTATTACATCTAGAGGGCAGTTTAGTAGGTCTAAGGTTGCTTCCACCTAGGGAAAGTGCAAAGCATGTTAAGTGTTTTATTCATATGACTTAAATTGCTGTTACACAGTCCAAGTAAACCACATCGAAAGGAGACTGAAACTACTTGGATGAATACAATGGAATCCTGTGGAATGGCACCCCAAACCAAGATGGTGGCAGAGAGCTGACAATTGGATTATTTGCATATCCTTTGTGTGGTCATCCTAGCATCTCAGGATCAGGAAAGATGAAGAGGAGGGAGGGGAAAGGAAAAATTTCCACTTAAAGTAGAGCTTGCCTAGGAGACATCAACTGACTCTTGTATTTTAACAGCACAGGCTGAAGCTGATAAGGGTCTTTAAGCCTCAGTAACCTTAGACAGGCACCTTCCTCACTGGACCTAACTGAAGAGACTTTCCTGACTAGTGAACAATGGGATATTTATTTTATTTAACCAATGGTGTAGAGACCTATATATTCATTCTGCCCCATATCCAGAGTGCCAGTTTCCAATGCTTAATTAGCATAAGCCCCATAAGCTCCCCACTTCTAACATTTAAAAACCCCTGACTTTCCCTCCTCAGTGAAATTCTTCATGGAGTAAGTTCTCTTGCTTGGCAAGTTAATAGACTCAGCTTTGTAATTTTTTTTTTCTAGCTCTAACGGTATTTGTTTTACTCATGGACAGGTGAGAAGGACAAGGGTAGAGGAGTCTTCAAACACCCCACAGCCAGCCATCTTGGGTGAATTACTGCAGTTTTCGAAAGGTGCCAGCAGGTTTCCTCCCGCATAACATTTGCATTATGTTGTACATGCCACCGTCTTCAGATGGCTAATCCCTATGAAATTCAGTTAACATGACATTTTCTAGGAAACCTTTACATCCTTTGCTGTGTTGGGTGCAACCTTGTCTGTCATTCCGTTTTTGTACTCATCACATACTTAATGGTATCAACTGGTTCAGCAATTGGACCCCTTCCTACTGTACTGAGATTCTTGAGAGTCACTTTGATATGCACCCCAGACCCTCAGCATACTGTCTAGAGCAGTAGTTTTCAAAACCTAATGTGTATCAGAATCGTCTGGAGAAATAGTTAAAACAGAATCTCAAGCCCTACCTGCAGAGTCTCTGCTTCAGTAAGTCTGGGTGAGGCCCAAGGATATGTGCTTTTAACCAGTTCCCAAACAATGTTGATGCTATTGGTCTGGAGAACATACTTTGGGACTTCCTGGTCCATATCATACTAGTCACTCAAAAAATGTTCATTAAAAGATTTCAAGGATTATAAATTACTTTTTATTTTGATTTGAAGCCAAATTAAAGCATTTTGTAAGTTATCCAAAGTAAGGTAAATACTCCAGGTCCTTGCTACTCAAAATGGGGTCCTTGGGCTACTTGCACTGGCATTACTAGGGACTCTGTTAGGAATGGAGACTCTCTTGCCGCCTGGTGGACCTACTGACTCAGAATCTCCATTCTGAGATTCTGATCTCTCAAGATCCTCAGCCTCACATCAAAATTTGAGAAGCACTGCTCATGTGTGTGAGTGTGTGTGTGTGTGTGTGTATGTTTATGTGTGTTGTCATTATTATTGCTTTGGAGTAGTTTTAACAGCATCCATAAAACTGGTTTTCACTAATTATTCCATTCGTGGATTTTCCAAGTCCTTTGTTCCCAAATAATAGTGGGTTTACTTTTCTTCTTGGTAAGTGCACAAAGATTAAGCTTCATAAAAGCTTTAACTTTATATTTGGTATGTTGACTTAATTTTAATCATTATTTAGTGATTCTTCTGTTATGACACAAAAACACAGAAGGGTGAAAGGGTGAAATGACTACTGAAGGAGTAAATTATTTCAGCAAAAAGATAAATAGCAGAGAAACATGGGAAATGAGTTATACCTACAGAATAGAAATGCTTGAATGTGGTAACAATTCTACAGAATTTAATATCTCTGTTAAGTTACAAATTGCAATTTCTTAGTAGCACCTGTAGACTTAAAGATTAACTAGTAGTTTTAATAATATATTGACTTACAAGTTTTACTTTTAAAAGTAACAAAGAAAGCTAAAAATGTTTTAAAATAAATATATTGCAAATTGTGGTTCTATTTTCCTTCTGACTTTTTCTTGTTTGTACTCTGCCTAATTAGCAATGTTTAGTAAAATTATAATTATTTCTAATCATATGAATAATTATATATTCTTGAATTAAGAATATGTCTAATAAGTATTTGAGACTATATATGAATTTTATAGTCTCTAATGCCAGATGTTCTAAATGTGCAAGCAAATGTTATTCCTTTCTGAATTAGAGTAATTTATTTTAAATAAAGAATGTTTATAGCACATATGAAATCTAGTCATAGTTTTTAGTAGGTTAGCTTTAGGGAAATTCTGTAAGAGAAGAAATGCATACAAAACCAGAATTTATTATACTTAATTTTTTTTTTTTTTGAGACAGGGTCTCACTCTGTCACCCAGGCTGGGGTGCAGTGGCGTGATCTCTGCTCACTGCAGCCCTGACCTCCCTGGGCTCAGGTGATCCTCCCACCTCCCACCTTAGCCTCACGAGCAGCTGGAACTACAAGTGTGTGCCACCGTGTCTGGCTAATTTTTGTTGTTTTTTGTAGAGATGGGGTTTCACCATATTGCCCAGGTTGGTCTTGAACTCCTGGGTTCAAACGATCTGCCCACTTTGGCCTCCCAAAGTGCTAGGATCACAGGCGTGAGCCACCGCTCCCAGCCTATACTTCACTGTTTTAAAAAACTTTTTCAGGTTGACAGCACAGAAACAAAGCCTAAAAACAAAACAAAAGTAATTACCTCTTTCCAACAGAATCATTAATGTACATTTGGGAAGAATAAGCACGTGGAACAGAAAACGAAAGTAAAAGAATAGTCACCCCTGAAGACAACCATTCTAATGAAAAGTATACTAACAATAACCCAAACTGCAAGTGATTTTTAAGTAGGAAGCTGCAGGAACTACTCGTGTTTAGTGGAAAAGTAAACAAATTGAAAGTAAAAAAAATTAAAAGAAGAATTTATAAAGCGCTTTTACCCAAAGCTTCAGTTCCATGACATGGGAATAATTATATGAAAAAAAAATGTTCCCGAGATTTTAGAACAACTATTTATTGTGTTTAAATGGTGGGTAGTTATAGTGCAATAACCCCAGGATAGAACTGTCTTTGTTGTGGAGCAAGATTAATCAGACAGGTTTGTTCCAATGACATTAATTATTTGAGTTCTATATCTAAATTGACTTGTTTTGATTCTATGAACCTTGTATTAGTTTTTGAAGACTGCTGTAACAAATACCACAGACTGGGTGGCTTTAACAACAGAAATTTATTTTGTTACAGTTCTGGAGGCTAGAAGTTGAAGACTAAGGTGTTGGCAGGATTGGTTTCATCTCGAGGCATCTCTCCTTGGCATGCCGTCTTCTCCCTTTTACTTCACGTGGTCTTCCCTCTGTGCATGCCTGATTCCTAATCTCCTCTTCTTATGAGGACACCAGTCATACTGGATTAGGGCCCAACTGTATGACCTCACTTTACCTCTTTAAAGATCCTATCTCCAAATACATTCTGAGGTAGTGTGGGAGTTAGGATTTCAATGTATCAATTTTGAGGAAACACAGTTCAGCCCATAACAGATCCCAGTATCTTTTGAATTATAACTTCAATTCTTATAAACAGCAGATTCAAGAATAAAGTATGTTTAATCAAGGCACAAATGGTATTCTCGCCTACAGGACACTGATATTTCACACAGTAGTGCTGAGTTACTATTTTGATTTAACAGTGTATGACTGTACATTTGATCAATGTGAATCTGCCCCTGAGGGGTTTTTCTACTCTCAGGGGTCTCAACAAATCTGGATTTTGAGTCTGCAGGGTCCCGTGCCTGACTTTCTCAAAGTCATCATTTGTCTCTTGTTTCACTTCCCATTAGAAGAATCCACTACCAAAAGTACTGTACTAGTCTAGGTTCCCCAAGCCTGCCATAAACAAACAACACCAACACTCACCTGCTGCCACTCTATGGGGAGTACTATCTCTGAGAAACAGAAGTGAGGAAAAACATGGAAGTGAGGCAGTAGGAGAAGGGAACACAAACACAGGTGTTAGTGAGCTTGTCATAGCTTTGCAACAAGTGCAGTTAATTGCTCGGTCTTTGAGGATATTTTCATGAAGGTCTTATGAATTATTGCACTTTAGAACAGCCTATCTGGGGGAAAGGAAGGGAGAATTTATCTACTAGCTTCATTTTGTGCTGTACCTCCTTGATCAAAGTTCACTCCTTAAGTAGGGTTGCCAGATTTAGAAAAATTTTAAAAAGCCCATGCTTATAATAAAAAGTAATTTATTGTTTGTCTGCAATTCAAATTTAACTGAGAGTCCTGTATTTTACCTGACAATCCTCCTCTCAGGATATTAGCACCTAAGCATTTCCAGGCAGCAGCTGGGGAAGCCAGAACCTCCACAGACAGATCTGGTGCACAGGCACAAAGGTCAGTTACTCCTTGTCAGTGGCACAGTGTACAGGACTCCTCAACATATAGCAGTGTGGTGGTGGTGGTAGTGGCAGCAGCAGCAGAAACTCTTTAGGACAACAGGGTAGCGCTAGGCCACTGGCCAGGAGGCAAGGCATGAGGAAGAGGCAAGAGGATGTAGGCATGGCTGCATGGATGCGGGATGATAAAAAACATAATTTTCTGTAAAAATGGGTAATTATTTATTATAATATCTCTTTAGTATCCATCATAGATCACATTATACTAGATACTGGGGATTTAGTAGTAAATAAGACAAAATTTCTGCTACGGGGAGTTTACAGAATAGCTTGAATATTGTGTGTGTTCTGATTTAAAGATGCTTAATGAATGCTAGTAAAATGAAATAATGTAATAAAATAAATGTAAATGGAGGTTTTTCTAAATGACTATTTTAGTAAAAACAAACAAAACCCCTCCATAACTATCACATGTATTGCTTTCTGGATGCTTCTGAAAAGAAATAACTCAGAAAAGTATTAGAAGGCCTCCATCAAATACTAGAATTATTATTTAATGAGAAAAAAATCCACGTGTATACAACATTTCAAAACAGAAGTTAAATCATTAAATAGTACTTTTTATTTAAATGTTTATAAGGCAGATCTATGAGAATGATAGAAAACATGGTGTGTAATTTGATAGCAATATTTTGGAGATTACAGAGTTTTAGTAATTACCAATTACACAGTTAAAAAGAAGATAATATATTCCAAGCAGATACAAAATATCTAATGAAAGATCAAGGCAGGAAAATGAGTATAACTAATTGACAATGGAAAATCAATTTTAATGTGAATTGCACATTATCCTTTAAAAGCTTTCAAAAGAAAGAATTATTGCAGTCTAGTTAATTCAGACAGTGTTAAATGGTATCAGGATAAAGAACTGAAGGGCAGAAAGAATTAATTTTCACTTCATGTAACACACCCAGATTTACAATGGCTTAAATGCAGGAAAAAGCAGTGGAAGTAGGGAAGTAGTCAAGGTCTTTCTGGTCTCTAATCTGCCTTACTCTTTGGGTGTGGCTTTGATCCTCTGGAGACAGCTGCCAGGGCTCCTGTTATATCCACAATCCCAGCAGCAAGATGAAGGGATGAAAAAGGACACATGCTGCCTTCCTTTGAGGAGACTTCATCTCACTGGCCAACACTCAGTCACATGTACACCTAACTGCAAGGACAGCTGAGGAATGTAATGGGCAGCCGCTTTTAAAGAAGTAGAGTCAATAGGAAGACAAATTCCAGTTCCAGCTCAGTCTGGGTATCTGCAAAGCTGCAAAAGATCTTTAAAGACAATTTCAAGAGAATATTTCCTTAAAGTTGGCAATTTGGAGATCATACAAAAGCATCTGCTTTTGTGATTTAATTTAGCTCATCTGGCCACTGGAAGAATCCAAACAGTCTGCCTTAATTTTGGATGAATGCATGATGGAAATTCAATAATTTAGAAAGTTAAAAAAAACTCAGTATGTTAGGCTGAACAAAACATTTTTTAGTAACATATGGAAAGAATCTCTGAAAATTAAGCACTGTATAATTTTCTCATACTAAAAAAAAAGTGAAGAACCCATTCATTCATGTAAAATTCACTGTTTAAAGGTAAAAACAGATTGAGTTTCCACTGAAATTATTACAGTTTCATTTAGGGCTAATCATTTGTCCTGAATGTACATCAGAATTTGTTTTACCCACTGATGAACAATTGAAGGTAGGGTGTCTCATTTCACAATATAAATCTTAACACTGTGAGGTGTGTTATACTATGTATGTATCTTGTTTTAAGTCATGGATTTACAAAATAATTTCAACACATTTTAGGCTGTTTACGTATTTCAAAACAGGGATTTCATAGACTGACACAGGAATAATTAGTTCAGTGTTCACAGTATTCCTAAATAAATATTTACTTATTACATTTATGATACTTTATTTAAAATACCACATTAGAAACTTTAAATATTTCATAAATAAATCTCTTTTTTGGGGGGAAACTGTACAGAATTTATTATGAAATAGCTTAATGGCAAGTGGTAATTTAGAAGAATTAAGTTATCAGATAGGAGATATATTAAAATATTTAAAAATTGGATATATTCTTGAAGCCCTTTTACACAAGTAATTTCTATAATTTGATTGTAATGAAAGTATAATATACCTTGTTACTATTATCAGATTAATTTTTGAAAGTAGAATTCCTTAATCAAGCCAAGGTTATGCTGCTTTATAAGAAATTAATCAGGTAGTTTAACACTAGAGCTCATTAGCCAACCTGTATGTAGCACAAAATAATCATCTCTGATAAATACCTATAAATATATTTTATTCATACTTTTAAATATTTTACAATTCAAATAAAAACCTTATATGTAGACAATCTGGGCTAAATTTCCATGTATGTTTTGAAAAATAATGTTAGCATGAATAGATTCATATTTAAATATGATTTTAAATACTCTTAATAGAGGAGACATAAGAAATATTTACATAAAAGCTAAGTAGCATGATACAGCTCATGGTTATTTTCCTCATAGGAAAACAATTACTTGATTTTTTTTTTTGCATAGGATTAAGACTGAGTATCTTTTCTACATTCTTTTAACTTTCTAAGGGGCACTTCTCAAAACACAGACCAGGTAGCAAATCTCCACTGCTCTAAGGTTCTCACCACCACTTTCTCACACCTAGCAATAGTAGAATTCAGTCCTACTTCTGAGGCCAGAAGAATGGTTCAGAAAAATAATGATTATAAAAAATAACAATTAAGAAAAATAATCACATAGAGGTAAAATAAAGCAACTAAACATCATAGTTTTGCATTTTTAGAAAAGCATTTAAACATTTAGAATTATAGTAAATATATTACATTTATTCTAAAACTTCAAAATTATTCTGTTTTTGTAGTACTGAAAAGAAGATAGTGCCATTTGAAACAACAGATGCATCTTTTATACATTTTCACAAGTTTGTTTTTCATATTTTTAAAGGCCCCATTTATCTGTAACAGTGGTATTTTTATTTAGAGTATCGGCTACTTAATATATACATGCAACAATATATGCTTTAATAGTCATTTAACTTTTAGGAATATTTCATCACATTAAGTGGTTAAGCATAGTGTTAAAAGAGTGGAATTTAAGGAATAAGAAAATATTGAAAATACGCTGTTATTTTCATTAGTTCACTATAATAGAATGTTTTTGCCCATAAAAGTTATCATTGCCCAACTGAATTCCTACCAAGAACTAACAAGTGATTCTCAAGTGGGGAGAAATATTATTAAAATAAAGAAAATAGAGGGCTCAGTTAGAAAGTACAAGATAATAGGCCGGGCGCGGTAGCTCACACCTGTAATCCCAGCACTTTGGAGGCCAAGGCGGGCGGATCACGAGGTCAGGAGATCGAGACCATCCTGGCTAACACGGTGAAACTCCGTCTCTACTAAAAATACAAAAAGAAATCAGCCGGGCATGGTGGCGGGCACCTGTAGTCCCAGCTACTCGGGAGGCTGAGGCAGGAGAATGGCGTGAACCCGGGAGGCAGAGCTTGCAGTGAGCCGAGATCGTGCCACTGCACTCCAGCCTGGGTGACAGAGCAAGACTCTGTCTTTAAAAAAAAAAAAAAAAAAAAAGAGGGTACAAGATAATAAAATTCACCAAGAGAACATTAGAAAATCATAAGTGAATTACCAAACTGACAAGGCAGTTGTAGAAAAAGAGTCACTGGTGGGAAAGGTAGCCTCTACTAAATAAAAGTCTTTTTATTGTTGGCAGTTGGATTCAGTAGTACCTACGTGGGTAAGTTTAGAAATGTTATAATTTCAGGAAGAGGAACGCATATAATTGTATCTTGCCTATAATTTTCTATTTTAATAAGGAAATAGCAAATTGGGGTGGGGGGAATGTAGGGCATTCTACAGTTTGAGCAAAATGCAATTAAATGTGGAAGGACAGCACTGAAAAATTTTATGAATAATCTGTATGATTATATGTCTCTAGAGTAGATTTATAATTAGCCACTTACCCTAATATCCTTCATGCTTGTAAAGTACTCCCTAATGAATGGTTATGCAGGCAGGAGAACTTCTCAGGAAGAGAAAAGGAGAAGACTAACTCTACAGAGATTTTTGAAAGACTCCGTGGGATCTCAGCAATTTGTTAACACTGCTAGGGCCCTTCACTGCATAGGGAGGCATATGGACTGCCATGGGTCTCCAGGCTCATGTTCCAAGCAAGAATAGGGTAAGTAACTGTGAATTACCCTACAAGCAGTAATAAGTTTATTATAATAATATTTTTATACATTTTTGGATGCACCCAACCCACTCTAAAGAATGTCAGTGACTTTATACAAAAGAGGAAGCATCTAGATTGGCATTGTGAACATAATGCATAGGGGCGCGGCGGGAGCTCTAGAGCCTAGTGGTTAAAACCGTGGCCTCTGGAATATGACTACCTGGACTTGAATGCTCACTCTGCCATTTATTAACTGCAAGACCTTTGAAAAATAACTTTTCTATCCTTCGGTCCCTCATGTGTAAAATGAGGATAATAACTACTTATCTCACGGGGTTGTTCTAAGTATTAAATGGGATAATACAAGTAAAGTACTTAGAACCATGCCTAGCACATCAGAATCCCTCAAAGAACATCAGTATAATCCTATACCATAGCAAGTGGTGACTGGTTAAGGTGCGACAAAGGTCAGCTGGCAGATTACTTGTGTGCAAACTTGATACTTTTGTTCTAAGTAGGAACTAGTATACAGTTCCTAGGATTGGTACCGTATTAGAGATAGCAGTTTTGGAAGCCAAATGTTACTGAATCCTCTTCCTGATCAGTATATTAATATGAAAATGAAACTGCTCTGTAACACAATAAAGAATAAAATCTTTCATGAGGTATGTATTATCAGTATGTATTTCATGTCTCAAATATATTTTAAATATAATTTCAGGTTTAATTTGTCTTTTTAATTTGTGTCTCTTCATATAATCACATTGCTTCATACAATTAATTTCATCCTTCAAATCCTATTTTATGAGAGAAATATAGGAATGCTATCATGCAGCCTTACCTAGATGCTAACATAACGTGTCCTTTCTTAAAAAAATGTATAATAATGCATTTCTACTTTTTAAGTTGAATAATTAAAATCTTAATCTTCAGAAAAAAATGTATATCCATTGAATTATTTTAAAAGCTTAAAATTCTGCTGGTTTGCAAATTGTTTTTAACATTATATCTATATTATTAACTGTAAGTATTTTTGCCTGATTATGAAATATAAAGTAACAACAGGGTTACAGTTGTGCAAAACAAAACAAAACATACCTAAATTACAATAATATGTTGACTAGAAAAATTCATATTGGCAAACATGACATTTGTGAAAATTAACTTGAAGAAAACTCTATCACTAAGTCAGTTGAAATCTCATTTAACAAGTTTCAACCCACGATAATTTGACAGCATACTTGTAACTGAACGTAGAAGTCATAAAAATAATGGCATGAGTAGAACTTTATATGGCAGCTGTGAACACCATTTGTCATCACATTACTGTGACCCTCTCCGGGGAGACATGAGGAATTGTTCCTCCCATACCTTCTTCCAGAAATTGGCTCTTTTCCCAGCCTTTTTTAATTCGTTTTAGCTTTCGGCTTATACATGGAAGGAATAAAATAATCTTACCCAGAATTACAATTGAGGGCAAAACAAGAGCAAGAACAAAGTTTGGTGGTGTATAAAATCTGTAGTACTCTTCCTCAAAAGCTCGTTTCCATCCATAAATTAAAACATGGAAAGTACTTATGAGCAGAGCGACATATCCAAGTGTAGACTTGGGCCAGGAGAGGAAGGAAAAGAAACAAAGAATAAGAAACAAATGACTGAAACTCATAAATTAAACTATCAAGATACACCATGTTTATATTTTGATAAAACTATTTTGTCTTAAATTATCAAGTTAACCTTTGTCCTCTACTGAATTAAATAATATTAATATTTTTATATATGCATATATATGTATTATTTATATGCACACCTTATGTTACACAAATAAGGCCCTACTGCATACAGTTTAATATTCTTACTACTTCATTTATTTTATCAAGAACATTTTCCTCATGTCATTAAATATGAAAATGACATTAATACTGTATAATATTCTATTGAATGGATGTGCATAATTTATTAAACCATTCCTTTTTGTTGATAATTCACTGTTTCCAACTTTCCTCAACTATAAATGTCATGTTAGGCCATTTTCCATATTTTGATTTATTTTCTTAGGACTGGTTTCTAATAGTAGGATTATTGGTCAAAACATCTAGCTTTTCCTTAAGGGTACTGATACATACTGCTAGACTCTTCTTTATAAAAATTATTCACATTCCCACCAGTTGTGTATTAAAGAAATGTGTATGTATGTGTGTGTGTATACACATACACATAAATATAGTCATGTGCCACATAAGGGCATTTTGGTCAACTATGGACTGCATATACAACGGTGGTCCCATAAGATTATATGCCTTATTTTTACTGTACCTTTTCTCTGTTTAGATATGTTTAGATACACAAATATTTACCATTGTGTTACAAGTGCCTGTAATATTCAGTACAGTAACATGCTGTACAGGTTTGTAGCCTGGGAGCAATAGGTCATGGTTTGTATAAATATGCTCTATGATGTTCACATGATAAAACTGCCTAACGACTCATTGCTCAGAACGTTCCCTACTGTTAGGTAACACATCACTGTTAATACATAAACAGACATATGATAAAATTAAATAAACTAATTTAAAATTATTAAAATTAATTAAATTAAATTAAAATTAAATGAGCATCCTCATGGGCACACACACATATATACACACTGGTTAATAGGCAAATATGAAAAATCCTGCAGTATTAATATAAACAACAATTAAAATATAGAGTTTATTAAGAATACTTCAGTTAGGCACTTTACAGTTTAAATTCTAAAAGCTCATCATTCTTTAGTTCGCTAAATTATTATGTTTAAGAGTGCTTACTTTGAAGAATAGTCTGTTATATAAAAGTAATATTACATCAGTATAGTGATGTAATGTCTAACTTTACTGGAAAATATCAACCCTCCAGCAGGCAAAATATTTGCAATTACTCATCTAAATTTATAATGATAATTTGCATCTGTCTAGAACCTTCTATTTCTTTTCGGGTATGATTAAACTAGCTGTTGGGAAAGTACTCTCCCTTTTCTTCAAAAAGGAAAAATAAATTCAGATAAGCATTTTGGCCCTGCTTTGAATGAGATTTTTACAGGACCTTAAAAAAAAAAACAAGCAAATAAGCAATGAATTGAAACAAAACTTAAGTGTACCACCAAAGGACATGAATCTGTCTACTATGCTGTAAACCATTTGGATACAACCAGTACAGATTTTGTGAAAATATAGGAAGGGTCTATGTTTCAGTTATATATTTTTAAAATATGCAACCTTATTATTTAGATATTATTGGAGAAGGTGAATGTTTAACTTATTAAAGAATACAATGGTGGTTTGAAATCCCTTTACAGACATCCATACGTATTAGTATACTACTGATATACTAACAAAATTCTTAAGGCTGGTTGCATGTTATAATCCATTACTCTAGTTACCTAGTTTGCCACTGCTTGTGTTTGTATGTGTGTGTATATATACACACATTTCTTTAAAATATTCAGATTGACATCCCCACTTGAGTTCAAATTAATAAGATTTTTCTGGACAAATCAAGATGACTCAAAACATAAAATAATTTTTCATTCACTTGGCTAATAATAAATTGACTTTCAACATTAAATTTGATCTAAGCTCATCCTTCCCAACTTTCATTTTTTTTTTCTCTTTTAAGATAACTTTTTTGTTCTTAACATAGTATACTGGAAGGCAGTGCTGTCAAAGTCTTCCAGTACAATCATATACTGACTGGTCTTTCACTTATTTAACCAGAGCAATCCTAAGCTGGCTTCCAGCATAATGTATCTAGATGCATAAATACAGCCTCAAAGGCACCCTTTTAATAAGGAACATATTTAAAATGCAGTTGTTCTTAACAAGGAAATCCTATCCTGCACAATCCTTCACCAAACAAAACCCCACATACCTGAATAAAACTGAATTCTCTCCAGTTTAAAGCATTGCTCACTGAAGGGATAGAAGTGACTGCCAGGAGGGAAAGTAAGCCAAGGCTCATTATGCCAAAGGAGATATACATTTCAATTCTCCAAACTTCTTCCTCATTCCAAGAGTTTTCAATATTTGCATGAACCTAACAAGAAAGCGAATGTGAATTTCCTTTATTTAGTAGAACATTAACTGATTCAGCACAGAGTTCACTCTTGGCATAAGAAGAACCTGGTCATATATGGACGTATTTAAGTTGTACTAATTTAGTCTAACAAACCATTACAGAGAACCTGTTACTGGATGATACTGCTCCAGGTGTAAGGGAAAAGAGAATTAAACAAAAGGAGGACAAAACTTTCTCTTTCCTTGTATACGTGCTAGAATAGAGGGGCAAAGCTTTGCCATCATCATTACAGGGACTCTGGAATCCAACACCATAAAATACCTAGTAGTTGGTTCTAGGGTGACACAAAAGAAGTTACTGACAGTTAAACTTAGTTTTGAAGTACTATTACAAGCTGGTTTAAACTTGGTTGAATATCTGGGATATAGTCTGGCCTTAGTTCAACTTGGATCCGGTCAGGGAATTTCTAAACTATGTCAGTATCTTCTTCCATCACATGAATAATATATCTCTGTTTTATCTTTCTTCTCATCTTCTCTTCCTAGAAAGCTGTGATTTCCCTAGCTATAAAGGCCAATGGAGCTCATTTATCCACTTGAACTGCCTCATTTAATATGATCCCCAACTATCCAATTGTGTCATTTATATGCAGTATTTTTTCCAAATGTCTTTTCCTTACATTGATAATGTGTATATAATCAAGTCAGACGGTGAACTCTGAATTTGTGGTATTTTGTGTAGGGACTACCTTTAGAAGTTCTATTTACATTCAGAATATAATTAGAGTATAAATCAAGTATTGGACTCCTTCAGCTGAAATTTTTGATTTAAATAAGTATCTATTAATGGAAAACAGATTCTAACTTAACAACAGTTTAACTTTGTCCAATTCCAGTTAACAAAACATACTTGAAATTTAACAACGAAAAGCTGCTTCTTAGCTATTAGTTCCCTAAGGCAATCATACCATCATCTTGAAAGAGGCCACAGAGTTCTTACCATCTTCTTATTTGATATCTATACAATACAGAAAAACAGCACTACCCAGTGTACTCGGAGACTACAACCTGGATCTACCTGCTCTCCCAGTTCATTCATTCATCCACAAATGGGCTGTTTGAGTGTCCACAATGTCTAGGCTCAAATCTAGGCACTGGGTATGCATCAGTGAAAAAGATAGACAAAGATCCCTCTTCTCATGAACTTACTTTCTGTTGGGGGAAGGCAGACACTGGTAAATGTATTTTTAACATGGAAATCAAGTGTGTTAGAAGATGGTAAGTGTTATTAAAAAAAGAAAGGTAGAGCAGGGTAAGTCAGAAGGATTGGGAATACTGGTTGGGGCAGAGGCAGCGGCATTTAAGATGGTATCCAGCATAGGACTCGCTGAGAAGGTGAGATCTGGGCAAATGACTGGAAGGAGGCAAGGGAGCTGACTGAGCAACAATAAAAGCCTTAGTATCCCATTAAGAGAAGTTTTTTTTCAGGGAGTGAATGGTTTAAAGGTTATCAATCTACTAATTAGAAAAATATTATTTTAGGTTTTATTGTTGAAACAAGCTTAAGTACTAGATGCCACATACTTGGACTATGATGCCTTCGATCCTTACAAAATGCAGATGCTTTTACACATTTGTTTTGGTGCAATGTTCTTGGCTTTCATGGAGAAATGCTACACCAAACAGCTTCAGGGAAACCCCTTAAATTACATTTGTGGATTGGGAATTATGGAGGAAAACCATAGTCTACCTCATAATCAAACCCCTTCCATGAAGTGCTCCCTGAGATTTTTTTTTTTAGAGCTAAGTGCTAGAAAAGCTTCACCTGTGGAACTATTATCTTTTCTGGTTTTTGATAACAAGAGCTTTGTAAATAATAGGGTCTCCCTTCTCATTGTATTGAAAATCTCAAAGCCAAAAGAGAAGCTGTGGAGACACTCTTAGCAGAGGTGTATTCGACTTTTTTCTCCTGATCTTGTCTTCCTGTTCTGTTTTGTATTTTTACTGGTTCTAATTTTATTGTATATATTTACTGAGAATTGCCTCATCATTTTGTGGAGCACAGCCAATTATAAAACATTAAAATAATGAATTGTTGAATACTGAAAGCACTCATTGCAATTATAACATTGAAAAAGGGGGAGAACCCAACCCTCTATTTTTCTGCTTTTATTCTGTATGGAAAAGGATGGTAGCAGCCTTTACTTAAATAATTTTGAATTAGCCACCTAATTATTTTGCAAAAACATTGTTTAAAGAACAATTCTTTCCCCTCCCGCAGTATACCAAAATCAAATTTCCATTACAGGGCATGTAAAATTTTATGTTTTACAATTTATACTAATAAAAAGTATTTTACTAGCATCAGATAAATAACAAGCACATTCAGTACCTGCTGATAAGCCATGTTGAGAAACAAATATCTCTCTGACCTTCTCATCGGTAAGCAGAGGCTGTAGGCAACATGGACCATAGCGAAGAAAAAACTTAGTAATCCAAGCTGTTTTCTACACTGTAACCAGGTTTCCAACCAAGGTGGAAATCTCCTATACTTGGTGCCGTAATAAAGTTGATAAGCAGCTGCCAGAAGACCTGCGAGGTATACTAGGGAGAGCAAAGTAATGGCAACTATAGGTAAGGTTTTATTCACAATCTCTATAGGAATTTTGTAAAAGTCACTCTGTTGGTTTCTAGCATATGGATGAATCACATCTCTGACAAAGGAATAAAGGAAAAAAAATGTGGCCAAGCTTATAGCTACCACCACTGGCCCTCTCCAGAGAGTAAAGAGTCGTAGGGGTAAATTTTCAATCTCTCTGGCTGATGATAAGGATCCCAAGTCAATGGGAATGAAATTCAACTGGCGGGCAAGTTCAATAACCTGTTGTCGCGCTTGAATATTGTTGCTGCATATATAAACCTGTGGAAAAAACAAAAAGACTCAGCATTACCATTGTTGTTTATAAAAATGGTAGCAATCGCATGCTCCACTTACGGACCATCACCTGTGATGACCTTGAGGAATAAATACTTGTTGAATTTTCAGCTATATTATAGTATCTAACAGATTTCAATAGTTTGAAAGCCTACAACAACAAGTATTTATTGAGCACCAAGTTCATTACTGGAGTGAGCTACTATTACTAATGGGTAGGCCACCTCATTCAGGGCTAGAAAAATATTGCTACAGAGTCTCCAAGTAATGTTTGGGGAAAACAAATTCCTAAATATATCCCTGAAGATGTTTGTATAAGGACTCTAAAATAGACCACATAGAAATATTTGCATGTTTCTATTTACATAATGGTGACAATATAACACTCTTTGGATTATTAATCTTGGATAACATTAGCCAGATGAATGACAAATCCTATTTGAATGAATATTATATAATCATTTATGAACTTTTAAAATAGAGGTCCTTTTATAACACAAATAAGAAAAAAGTATTCTAAATTAATTTATTACAGTTGTGACAATGGTGGAATAAACTTTTTTAAAAACTCATTTGGAAAAAATTTTGTATAAATTATAATACGGTATAATAAGTCTAAAAATAAACCAAACACTCAAAATAAAGGCACAAATGCTACATAATACAAATTTAGACTATTTCTGTAGCTCATTTGGAATTTAATCACTGTTCCACATTTTTTTCTGTTAAAAATTTAAAATTGGCATAAATATGGGCATATTATTAAATTCAGGTTTGTCTCACAGGTCCTGGTTCTAATTTGCTTATTCTATATCCACTGCTAAACTTTGGTGGATATGCAAAAGAGAAAAAAGGATTCAGAAATAGCCTGTAGAAGAGCCTATGTTCTTTTACCAGTCATTAAAATAAAGACTGGAAAGTAAATGGTTATCATGACTGATATACAGCATACAATGATATAATACTGAAACTTATTTTCTAAGGAATCTAATCAACTGTCTTTATGGACAAAAACAATAAAAGTGTTTTATAATCATGCTTAATTGTAATGCATAAGCACATTTAAAAGATTTTTAAAACATATTTTATGTGTTTACTTATAAAAGCTTGTTCCACAATGGTGTTGACAGAGTGCCCCATCTGCTTTATTCTCAAGTTGAACTGGATGACTTTCACGTTATTTTCCCAGTTTTCCACATCATGTTGGGAATGGGAATGTGCCCTTACAAGGTCAGGACATTAATCTTCAGGTGCTCATAATTAATTTTCAAATGATAATCATTGGAAAGTGTCAGAGTTTGGTATTAAAATGTTTGATATTTGCTTAGTTGTTTAACTACAAAATACCAGATACATAAGAATAAAAATGTAAAATACATACCTGCCGGCTGGCATCCTTAGGTCCTAACTGAAGTGCCCAAGCTGAGACAACATTAAATCCTTTGACAATCAAAGAATCTGGGAATAATGAAGCCAAATATTCAGCATTGGATTCTGGGTACTGGTTTATCCTCATGTTATTGCTCACATCAATCAGGATTTTACCCACAAGCAGATGTCTCAGGTCCCACAGGGAGGTATAATGTTCTCTGTGTATAGCAACAAATATTATATTTGTTTTTGTGAGAGCATCTTCATGATGAGTGACATCTACCACATGAGGAAAAAATTCAGAAGCAAACTTAGGATTTCTACTTCCTATGACCACATGATAGCCGCATCTAATAAGTCGAATGGTCAAGGATTTGGCAAAATCTCCACTTCCAATCACACCTACAGTGACCTTCCTTGCATCTTTGATACCATTTATGCCATTAGGTAAAAAAGTTTCACTAAGGCTCTTAGGGCTTCCCATCATAGAGATTGATTCCATGATACGGACACTTCCAAGATCACCAAGAATATCCTAGGGGAGAGAAAATAAAATGGTCATCAGTTACCTATTACTGAACATTAAAACACTTCTAGACATTGTAATGTCCTGTCTTTCTAGAGGTAAAATATTTCACCACACTTTAACATACAGCACAGTAAGACACAATTTGTAAGCTAAAAAAGGATCACTATTCTGGTTTCTCTTCATAAATCTTTTGGCTTTTAAAAAAGCATCTCAATAGGAAAATTAACTGTCACAAAGGTGAGGTGCTAAAGTGGGGCTTCTCAAATTTTAATGTGCACACAGATCACTTCGGAATCTCGTTAAAATGTAGATTCTGATTGAGTAGTTCTGGAGGGAGGCTCAACATTCTGCATTTCTAATGAAAGCAATACCAATGCTGGTCTGAGACCCCTCTTTGAGCAGCAAGGCACTAGTGATGCAGGACAGGAAAGCCCCCAAATGGGGGCTTAGCCCAGGAGACTACTTGGCTTTGCATGGGAAAGAATTCAAGGGCGAGCTGGTGGTGTTAAACAGCAACGTTTATTGAAGCAACAGTTTACAGCAACAGCAGAGGTACTGCTCCTTGCAGAGCAGGCCTACCCCGTAGGCAGTGTGCCTAGAGTAGCAGCTCAGTGGCAGCTCTGCAGTCATATTTAAACCTACTTGATTTATATGCAAATTAAGGGGTGATTTATGCAGAAATTTCTAGGATGAGGGTGGTAATTTCTGGGTTGTTGGGCTGTTGCCATGGAAAGGGGTGGTAACTTCTAGGTGTTGCCATGGCAATAGTGAACTGACATGGCACACTGATGGGCATGTCTTATGGGGAGGTGCTTCTGCCCTGACCTCAGTTTGGTCCAGTGTCTGAACCTTGCCTCTGGATTCAAGTTCTGCCTCCTACCTCACTAGAGCACATGAAAAAAGGGACTGAGGTTTTCACTCAGAACTTTTTGGAAAAACACACTTGTAACAAGTATGATTACCCAGCTTTTGAGCAGATCAGAGGCAGCAAATCACAAATGCTGCTGGAGGCAGAGAGGACTGTGATACTAAGTGATGGCTCACAAGACAAGAGAAGAAAGAAAAACCATTTTTTAAAAAGCCATTTAAACCAAAACTGTCTAAAGTCATTTGGGGTAGAGGTTATAAAGTTCCCTATATACTTCAGTAGCTAGTGACTTTATCATTAAATGAGAGCTAGACAAATTAGCTAACAATGAATCCTGGCACTTAAATAATATCTTAAGAAAAATAGGCATCAAAATATAACAAAAGAGTAAATACCATGGACTTCTATCATTCACCCTACATCTTACAATGTATCATTGAGAAAGATAGCTTACCTATGGAAAAAGGATTAGTAACATGTTTATGATCTTAAATTATATAATATGTATGAAATCTTTTTCTTCCCCTTTGTAAAGAACATGGCTGTGCTTTGGTCAAGGACAGGCAGAGGTAAACATCCAGAGTGAGTGAGTTCAGAGCGCAAGCATATAACTTCACTTGTTACTTGTTATCATAGCCATGTAGACATAACAGAAGCTCACCACCATCGCTATGACATAGGGAAAACTCATCACTTGGCTCTAAGCCACTATTGTCTGTAAAAGGTATAATTGCCCTGTGGACACTGTAGAGGCACTCTTGTGCTCAGAGACAGAGAGTCAGAGCTGTCTGTCTTTGCAGACAGATGGGGGAGTCAGGACCCAGCTTGGCTTGCCCATGCCCAGAGAGAGAAATAGTTAAGCTGCTGACCCTGAAGGCAAGGGAGCTGTGTGTGTGGGAGCCACCAGACTAAGCAGCTGAGACAGGATGGACAGTGTGAGAAAGTTGTTGATCAGAGCTGCTGTTGAATAAAATCATCTTTCACCTGCCTACAGCCCTTCAAGTATTCTTTCTGCTCATCCACCCACGCCCTTTGGACCGCAACATGACACCCTTTCATTTGTTGGCTGCATAAACTATGATGCAGTTATTCTTCCTGGAAAAATCTCTCAAATTATTTTTTAGTTGAGAGACTAGCATCTGAAATGTTCATATTTGGAATAATTTGCTCAAGAATACAAATCAGGTTGCCATGAATTAGTGTCGAAATTGGGTCTGAAAGAAAAATACTCTTCCATTCTACCCTCATTGCACAATTTCTTCTATGCTCATAGCAGATGTGGACCATTTCAGAGGATTTAATGGACTTTACAGGCACAGGTGGAATGTTTCAAAAAAAAGTTGGGGTTTTTACTAAATGAAATTTGAAATGACTACAGCCAGGAAAATTCAACTTTTTACCCTAGAAATGAGTCACATCCAGTAACTCCAAATACATCAGTATGTTAAACTTTAGAAAGACAATAATTATAGTAATATTACTTAATGCTTATATAGGACATAATGTATTTCAGCTCTCTTGTGGTTTTTATGTATTAACTGATTGAATCCCCACAACCACCCTAAGAGACAGGTGCTAATACTGTCATACCCACTTTGTAGATGAGGAAACTGAGACCTGCAGAAGATAATTAATTTATCCAAGGACATAAAGACAGAAAATAGGGAAGCCAGGTAGTTGTCCAGCTAAGACATGTGTTATTTAGGTGCATGTAAGGAGTTTAGGAAAGGGTGTTTTTGGGGGGTTATAAGTATCAAGGTGTAACAATTACAGTTGTACTCAAAGTAGTATATTATTCCTTTTTCTTTGGTCATTTCATTGCTCCTCAGAGTTACCTAGGAGCACCCGATCCTGGGAAAGAAGAACATTTACTATTTTTAAATCAATTACATGTTTCATTTCACACCTTTCAAGATAGACCACTCCCTTGGTGTGGTCCATGCACCCAGAAAGGCAGGCAGGAGTCAGAGGTACCAGGGTAGGAAAAAAACCTGTCAATATCCATTTGGAGATGTCACTAGCTATGCTGGGAATCAGGAGTGGTTAAAAAAACCAGAAGTAATGAAATCCATGCTCACTTCATTCGAAAGTTAATGGTAATCATGAGCATTATCTAAGGGTGAAAAAGGTTGCTAGATTCACACAAGGGAATCCAAGTTTCCTATATCCCAGCCTGGAGTTCTTCTGAGTATATACTGCAGCATCTCCCAAAATATAAGAATTGCAAAATCTTTAAATCTAACACTCATGATGATCAAGACTTTTTCAAACAGAAACAAAAACAAAACAACATTAATTATCTGCTTATTTTACAAAGCAAGTTCAAATCCCTTCTGTAAATCAGAATGTGAACAGGTAAAAATTTTATTTTGCTGGGAGTTCCTTTATAGGTGACTGGTCATTCTCTTGCTGTTTTTAGAATTCACTCTTTGTCTTTTACTTTTGACAATATGACTATAATGTGCTGTGGGGAAGACCTTCTTGTATTGTATCTGTTTGGAGATCTCTAAGTTACCTGTATCCGGGTGTCTACATCTCTCACTAGACTTGGGAAGTTTTCATTGTTGAATAACTTTGAATGCAAATGGATTAAACTTTCCACTGAAAAGATATGGACTAGTAATAGATAAAAAATCATAACCCAAGTATATGCTGGGTACAAGAAACCCATCTAACATATAAAAACACATATAAGACTGAAAGCAAAGGGATGGAGAAAGATAGTCCATGCAAATGGAAACCAAAAGTCACTATACTTATATCAAATAAAACAGTTTGAGTCAAAAACAGTATAAAGAGACAATGAAGGTCATTATATAATGATAATAGATAAATTCTAGCAAGAGGATATAACAATTCTAAACATATATACACCCAACAACAGACCACTCAGATATATTAATATAAATAAAGTGTTATCAGATCTAAAAGGAGAAACAGACGCCAATACAACAACATTTGGGGACTTCAACACCGCCTGCCAGCATCTGACAGATAATCTAGACAGAAAATTAACAAAGAAACATTGAATTTAAACTATACGTTAGACCAAATGGACCTAACAAACATTCACAGAACATTTTATACAACAGTTACAGAATACAAATTCTCATCAGCACATAGACATTCTCTAGGAATGACCATGTTAGAACACAAAATAAGATTCAACAAATTTTTTAAAAATCGAAGTCATATCAAGTACTTCCTCAGACCACAATGGAATAAAACTAGAAGTCAACAACATGAGGAACTTTTGAAACTGTAAAAATAAATGATTAAACAACATGCTCCTAAATGACTACGGGGGCAAAGAATAAATTAAGGAAGAAATCAAAAAATTTCCCTCAACAAATAAAAATAAAAACACAACACACTGAAACCCATGAGATACAGCAAAAGCAGTGCTAAGATGGAAGCTTATATCAACAAGCACCTACACCAAAAAATCATTACGATTTCAAATAAACAACTTAATGATGTACCTCAAGGAACTAGAAAAGCAAAAACAAGCCAAACCCCAAATTGGTAAAAGGAAAGTAATAATAAAGATCAGAGCAGAACTAGACAAATTGGGACTTAAAAAACAATACAAAGGATGGATGAAACAAAAAGTTTTGTTTTTTGAAAAGATAAAATTGATAAAGCACTTGCTAGACTAACCAAGAAAAAAGAGGAAATACTCCAATAAAAAATCAGAAATGGAAAAGGAAACATTACAATTGATACCACAGAAATACATAAGATCATGAGAAGCTATTATGAACAACTATACACCAACAAACTGGAAAACCTAGAGGAAATGGATAAACTGCTACACATATACAAGCTACCAAGATTGAAATGGGAAGAAATGGAAAACCTGGACAGACCAGTAACAAAAAAAGTTGAGGCAGTAATTAAAAAACTCCCAACAAAGAAAAGTCCAGGGCCAGATGGCTTCACTGCCGAATTCTACCAAACTTTCAAAACAGACCTAACACCAATTCTCTTCAAACTCTTCCAAAACATTAAACAGGAGGGAATTCTGCCTAACTCATTCTATGAGGTCAGCATTATCTTCACACCAAAAGCAAACAAGGCTCAACAAAAAAGAAAACTACATACTATTATTCCTGATGAGCACAGATACAAAAACTCTCAACAAAATACTAGCAAACCAAGGGCCAGACATGATGGCTTATGCCTGTAATCCCAGCACTTTGGGAGGCCAATGCAGGAGGATGGATTGAAGCCAGGAGTTTAAGCCCAGCCTGGGCAACATAATGAGACCCTCGTCTCTACAAAAAATTTAAACAATAGCTAGGTGTGGTGGTACACACCTGAAGTCCTAGTACTCGGGAGCTGAGGCAGAAGAATCACCTGAGCCCAGAAGTTGAAGGCTGCAGTGATTTATGATTGCATAACCGCACTCCCTCCTGGGCAACAGAGCAAGACCCTGTCTCCTAAAAATTGTGTGTGTGCGCGCGTGTGTGTCTGTAGAAGCAAACCAAATCTAACAACTCATAAAAAAAACACACACACATCATGATCAAAGGGGATTTATTCCAGGAATGCATCCCAGGGATACAAGGATGGTTCAACATATGCAAATCAACAACTGTGATACATCACCTGAAGAGAATGAAGGACAATAACCATATGATCATCTCAATAGATGCAGAAAAAACATTTGAGAAAATTTAGCATCCCCTCATGATAAAACTTGCAACAAACTAGGGATAGAAAAAATATGCTTCACATAATAAGGGCTTATATGATCTATATAATAATAATATAGCTATCATTATTTTGAAATGGGGAAAAGCTCAAAGCCTTTCCTCTATGAACAGAAACAAGACAAGGATGCCACTTTCACCACTTCTATTCAACATCATATTGGAAGTCCTAGCCAGAGCAACCAGGAAAGAGAAAGAATAAAAGGTACCCAAACTGGAAAAGAGGAAGGTCAAATTATCCCTCTTTGCTGATGATATGATCTTAGATCTAGATAAACCTAAAGATTTCACACAAAAACTCTTAGATCTGATAAATAAATTCAATAAAGTTGCAGGATACAAAATCGACATACAAAAATCAGTACCATTTCTATACACCAACAATGAACTTGCTGAAAAAGACACCAAGAAGGCAATCCCATTTACAATAGCTATAAAAAAAACAAAAACAAACAAAAAACAACTAGGAATATATTTAACCAAGGAGGTGAAAGTTTGCTACAAGGAAAACTACAAAGCACTGTAGAAAAAAATTAAAGATGACATAAACGAATGGAAAAACATTCCATGCTTATGGATTGGAAGAATTAATATTAAAATGACCATACTGCCCAAAGCAATACACAGATTCAATGCAATCCCTATCAAAATACCAATGTGATTTTTCATAGAATTAGAAAAGACAATCCTAAAATTCATATAGAACCAAAAAATATCCTGAATAGCTACAGCAATCCTAAGCAAAAAGAACAAAGCTGAAGGCATCACACTACCTGACTTCAAAATATATTACAAGGCAATAGTAACCGAAAAAACATGGTACCGGTATAAAAACAAATGCACAGATCAATGAATGCAACAGATTAGATAATCCACAAAAAAAATCCACACATTTACAGCCAACTGATTGTCAACAAAGGCACCAAGAACATACACTGAGGAAAGGATATCCTCTTCAAATATATGGTACTTAGACAATTGGATATCTGTATGCAGAAGAATAAAACTGGACCCCTGTCCCTCACCATATACAAAAATCAACGCAAGGTCAACTAAAGACTTAAACATAAGACCCAAAACCCCTCATTTCAAGAAGAAAACATTGGGGAAATATTTGAAGACATTGGTCTAGGCAAAGATTTTATGGCTAGGACCTCAAAAGCACAGCAACAACAACAAAAAAATAGACAAATGGGACTATATTAAACTAAAAGACTTCCGTGCAGCAAAGGAAACAATCAACAGAATGAAGAGACCACCTATTGAATAGAAGAAAATATTTGCAAACTATTAATCTGATAAGGGACTAATATTCAGAATATACAAGGAACTCAAACAACTGACAATAAAAAACACATAATCCCATAAAAATGGGTAAAGGTCATGAATAGACATTTTTCCAAAGAAGACAAACAAATGGTTAATAGGTATATGAAAAAATGCTAAGCATCACTAATCACCAGAGAAATGCATATCAAAACCACAATGAGATTTCAACTTATCCCAATTAGAACTGCTATTATTAAAAGAGAAAAATGACAGATGCTGACAACGATTCAGAGAAAAGGGAATCCTTATATGTTATTGGTGGAAATGTAAATTAGTACAGCCTCTGTGGACAACAGTATAGGGGTTGTTTCTCAAAAGACTAAAAATGGAACTACCATACAATCCAGTAATCTCACTACCGGGTATTATCTACAGGAAAAGAAATTAGTATATCAAAGAGATACCCGTCCTCACATGTTTTTTTTTTTTTTTTTTTTTTGCGCACTATTCACACTAGCAAGGATATGGAATCAATCTACATGTCCATCAACAAATGGATAAAGAAAATGTGGTATGTATACACAATGAAATATTATTCAGCCTTAAAAAATGAAATCGTGTCATTTGCAGCAACATGGATAGGAGTGGAGGCCATTATGTTAAGTGAAATAACCCAGGCACAGAAAGGCAAATATCACATGTTTTTACTCATGTGTGGGAGCTAAAAAAGTGGATCCCATGGAGGTAGAGAATAGCATGAGAGATATCAGAGGCTGGAAGGATGTGTTGATGGGAGGAGGGGAGGAAGAGATGTTGGTTCATGGATACAAATGTACAGTTAGAAGAAGTAAGTTCTAATGTTCAATAGCAAAGTAGGTTGCCTATAGTCAGTAACAATGTACTGTGTATTTCAAAGTAGCTAGAAGAGATGACTTGAAATGTTCTTAACACATAGATATGATAAATACTCAAGGTGATGGATTCCCCAAAAACTCCAACCAGATCATTACACATTCTATGGATATAACAAATACTCATGTGTACCCCATAGATATGTAACATGTATCAATTTGTTTTAAAAGTTAGTCTAAGCAGGCTTCTTCAAGAAATAAATCCTACTTCCCTCAATGTTCTGAAAACTGGCCAGTGAGGGTGACCTGAATATTGCTGACCTGGCTTGGCACTACGCTTATGGTAGTGAGGGAAAGTCCCACTGTTTTGGCACATGGAGTAGCAGAACTGCAATCTCAGAGCTGCTTCTGAATGAGCTACTAAAGCAGTATTTCTCAACCCTAGGTGCATTCTCCAATGACCTGGCAAGTTTTAAAACACAGTGATGACGGGTCACCCCCCTACCACCCAGTTTTCACTTAATTGTTCTGGGGTTCATCCTGAGCAACAGCATTTTTTAAAAAAGATTAGCAGATGTTTTATTATGCAACCAAGATTGAAAATCACTCTAGTAAAAGATTCAGAATTCAATCTAATACTTTCATCATTTGGCGATAGTAGATGTGGCTTTCTGACCCTCACTTATGTTAATTTTTACGTTGTTGTTTGTAGTAATGAAAAATTACACTTGCGAAAGAGTAGTAGTTACCTTTGAATATAGGACGCTGAATAATATGCATGCAGTTCTTTCCCCTTTTCCACGCAAGGAGGAGCAGTATCAGAAGGTCCACTCACAATTTTCCAATTTCCTCTCTTCACTTTCTGGGAAAGGCAATGCCATTCCTTAAAATGCGTCACTCCTTGCACAACATACTTTGTTCCTGTTGTTTCATAATATTCAAAATTCGGAATATTTCCATGACTGTATCTCTTCTTTCTGTTCTACAAGGGGATCCCCTCCCCAGTTCTCCAGGCATCATGATCCTGCTGACCTGAGCAGACCACTGTTTCCAAGGGAATGACTCACTAGAAAGGCACTTGTCAAACTTTAATGCAAATATGATCACCTGGGGACCTCTTTAAAATGCACACTCAGATTCTTTAGGTCTAGAGGGAGGTTAGACATTCTGCATTTTTTCACAAGCTCCCAGGTGATGTCCACAGTGTCTATACCTTTTCTTTTGAAGTTATTCATAAGGAATCCAAATTAAATAACTGATAAAACTATGTCATTTATAGGCTGGGCATGGTGGCTCACGTCTGTAATCTCAGCACTTTGGGAGGCCGAAGCAGGTGGATCACTTGAGGTCAGGAGTTCAAGATCAGACTGGCCAACATGATTAAACCCCATCTTTACTAAAAAGGCACAAAAATTAGGCAGGGGTGGTGGCAGGTGCCTGTAATCCCAGCTACTTGGGAGGCTGAGGAAGGAGAATCGCTTGAACCAGGGAGCCAAGATCGCGCCACTGGACTCCAGCCTGGGCAACAGAGTGAGACTCAGCCTCAAAACAAAAACAAAAACAAACAAAAACAAAAAACAACTATGTCATTTATAGAAAGTTTTGTCTTCATAGTGTAGGGGTGAAAGAGCAGGCCTAAGCTTCTGCAATCACTTTGATTCTCTGAGTCTCAATTTCCTTTGTTAAACAGCAAACAAATAGGTTATACTTGACTCTGGTGGTAGTTTCCAACACTAAATAAGTCTTGAAGCTGTGTAATAATGGTAATATCACCACCCTATATTTAACACTTCAACTTCGGGAGCTCAATCTAAAAGTCTGTGTCAATGACATCGTTTTCTTGAATGGGCATTTGACTTGCTGTACACATTTAATACTTGAGAATGTATTATTTTGATAGGGAATTCAGTTACATTCAGCTGGACAGCCTCTTAAGGTTTTCAGTTTAGAAGGATTTCCTGAACATTCCTGAAGCTGAATGGCACCTGTTGTGCTATGTTACTTTTGAAAAATAGAACCTAATTTGTTTCACACATAAATAGGGCATTTATTATTGGATGACAGCAACTCTGAAAGGGCTGTCCACAGAGGTTTTGATGACATTTCACAACCTGCAGATTTGGAGAGGCTATCAAGAAAACATAATTCTCCAGGGCCATGAGGTGGGGTGGTGTAATCTTCACTTTGTAAGCCCACATCTGAACATCTCTTCTTCATTGTCTCTCCTGCAAACACCCAGCTCCTTTGAAGCTCATGGTACTTCACCATACCCTCTCCCTGTCCTTACTGCTGTCCTCACTGCTGTCCTCTACTGACTTCTAGTTTATTCCTTATGACTGCAGACTCTGGCTCCCAGTATATACATGGTCATCCTCTCTACCCTAATAGCTATCATGTTTTTCCTGGACTTTATCATTCAAGTGGATGAACCATTCAACTTCAGGGGCTCTTATTTCCTTGACTTACTCATTGGAGACAATGAATTTTTGCCTCTACCCCACCTCAGTCACTCACTGCCTGAAATCTCCAAGCACTGTCTCCAGGACTTCCAATAATCTTAGTTTAAATATTCACACTGATAATTCTAAACAGCAAAAGAAATCTGATCCGTTGACCTCTACCTCTCTAATTGCTTAATATCCTGCACTCTCCTTCAGCCTGCTCTGGTTTCTCTTTAAACCGAGGCTAGATTTGTAGTCACTCCCTTAAAAAGATCCTCAGCTCTCTTACTCTCCATCATATCTGCTTGGCAAAACTCTAGTCCTGGACCCAGCTATCCATTTTCTCTGTATCTGTATCCACGTTGGTGAAGGTTGCTGGAGAAAAACCAGAAAACTGAGCTCATTAGTTTCACCTTAAATTAACAATCACCAATTTTACCTATCAAAGACCAGTCTATCCACTTATGTCCTGGAGAGCCTCCCTTTTTGCTTCCCAAGGGGATATGGTTATGACCTCTTTCTGTGACATCTCAAACTTCACAGGTTCAAACCTGAACTTTTTCCACCCAGAGCTGGTCCCATTCGCCTGGAAATGTGTAAATGCCACCATTATCCACCAGTTGCTCCAATCAGAAAATTGGGAGTCATTCTTAAGTCCTTGCTGACCCTCACTTTTGACATAAAATCCTGCACCAATTCCTGTTCTCCAACATATTTCATAAATCCCTCTCCACCAATACCAGGCTAGTCCAGGTGTCTATCATCTCACCTGAACTCTGCAAACATTTCCTAATGGGTCAGCCTACTTTCTCTTTTGACCCTTTCCAAACATCTCCACAGCAGCTAAAATCATCTTAAAATGTAAATCGTCATAAAATGTCTCTCCTTAAAATCGGTGCTCCTTGTACTTAGAACTACAGCCATCTTCCTGACTATCACGTAAAAGGTCCTGAATGAGTTAGTCCCCGCTTCCCCTCTCTAACCTTATCTGTATATTGTCCACCCACAGCATTCTCTTCTAGAAAGAGAAAACAACAACCACTTTATGTACCTTGGGAGCTTTCCATATACTGTTCCATCTCTATAGCAGAATAATTCACTCAGCCCTTGTTAAATTTATTTTGTAATATTTTATATAATTGTTTCTTTACTGTTTACTATTTCCCCCATTGGACAATAAACTGCACGAGGGAAGAACCATGTTTGTCTTGTCCGTGATCACTGCCTCCACATTGGCTGGCAGTGTAACTAAGGATGCAATAAAAATTCTTTGTTATGGAATACATCAAAAAAATTCAGGACAAAAAGACATGTAATAATTCTCTAGATCAGATTTCTCTTTTTGCTGAAAACACATGTGGGCCCTTAAGGGGTAGGTGATTTATCAATGTTATTGTTATGTTAATGTCTCAGTTACCTCAATGTCCTGGTTTCTGGCCCAGCAGGGATAAATACATCTCCTGATGTCCTATGTCCTTTATCACGCCTGCAGTCTTACTCTTTCACATTTTTGGTGTATCTTCTTTCTCACTTTTCTAACTCATTTACAATCCTTTCTTTAAAAATTTGTCTTCACCTGTCCTGTTTTTTCAGTACTAAAATACAACTATGTTCATTCACCACATTTTCCATAGCACCAGTACAATAAAAAGTGACTTGGATAAAGCTTTTCATTTCCTTACTGCACAATTTGCTCAAGTTGTCATTCTCAATATTGTCTCATTTCCCCATACCCTGACAGAGTGACTAGCTAAGAGGCAGAGAGTGCAGCCATCCCAATGGCAGCACACATAGTTACTCTTTATGTTTCTAAACATCCTGCAAATTATTTAGGACGGGTGTTTTGTTTTGTTTTGTTTTGCTTTTCCATTAAATAGCCTCTAAGCTTTGAAGCAACCAAGAGAGAATCGGAGTAAAAAAATTATAGGGTTAAAGAAAGAAAAAATAAACAGATCAATAAAATGAAGAAATAATAAAGTGGAGAAAAGGAAGGATGGGGAGGTGGTTTAGAAAACAAAAAGGGTTCCAAGCAGCGGGGCTGTTAAAAGGACCAGAATCTAAGTCAGGAGGTTGGGGGTGGGGGTGGGGGTGGGGCAGGAGTCTGAATTCTTTTTCTCCTATACTGATGAGCGATAATTAACTATGGCCTGGACTGTCTTTCCATCTAAAAAACTAACTGCCCGAGGAGTAAAAACTGACACCAATCCTTCTCCACGGGGTGGGAGAGATAATAAATGGAAATCTTCCAACAAAAATGCTCTTTATCTCTCTGCTCTATTTTAAGAGCAAGATTTTTAGGGCATAATTTTCAACAAGTTTTGGCTGAGGCTGAACACAGGGTTCAAAGATAATTTAGGACAGTCAAAGAAGAGGCCAATTACTTTCTAACAGAAATGGCCTAAACACCACGATTACATTACTGGGAAATAAACCAAATGACTGCTAGAAATACCTGTTCGCAAAGCAGCACTGCATGATCTTCCATGAAATGCCCTGCATCAACCCAAAGTAGCAGGGAGACTATCAAGGGGGCGAAAGTAACCTGCCTGTCCTTTCCTGCTGGGACACATCCTACCTGGGACAATGTCTCCTTGCCTTCTTTCTCCTGGGCCCAACCTCAGGACTTGCCCTTAGCTCTAGGAACCAAGAGGAGGAGGAGGGGGAATCAGTGGAACAGACACCCTTCTCCACCCTTCTCACTTTCCACCTTAAGGTGCCAGGAGATGAGGGACCCCGCAGCTCAGGGCGGACGCCCGGTGAGGGCGCAGAATCGGGGAGGATGGATGCAGCGCGTGGCGCAGACTGCATCTTGACCCTCAACTCCGCCGCCGCTACCTTCTTTCGCGCTCCTCCCCGACCCGCTCACCTCCGCGCCCCCCGCGCCCTCCACGCCGGGCAGGGGCGAGCCTTGCAGCTCCCCGGGAGCGGCGCCGACTCCCCAAGGGCCCACCCGGGGGCCAGGGCCTACGGACTGCACCTCCGACTGGCGGTTGCAGGGTGGCTGCCGCGGCGGTCGCACTCCAGCTGCTTCCCCGCCTACCCAAGCTGGATCGCGAACAGCCAGGGGAGAAGGAAGGAGGGAGGCGCGCGGAGGCCGGCTTGGCAGCGACGCGCCGCTAGGGGCTGCGTGCCCGGACAGCTCGTGGCGCCGAGGGCCCGAGGAACGCTGACTGGAGTCGGGAAGAGCCGTGGAGCGCGGGGAGGAGTCGGGGAGCTCGGAGGGGGCGGGGGTGTGTGAAGGGAGCCGGGCTGTGTGGAGGGAGCTGGGAAGGGCCCAGAGCACCGAGGGGGAGCCAGCAGTGAGTGCACTGGGGAGCTCCACACACGCGGCTCCGCAGCTTTGCGCGCCCTTCTACCGCGAGCGGCTGAGTATCCGCCTGGCTCCCCTGCGGGGTTCCTCCGTGGTCTTCCGGAGATTCTTTCTGAAGCAGCTTTAGAATAGTCAAGCCTATTTTTCTACTCCATTTCTTTTTGTAATGTGGGGTCACCTTTCCGCTCTAGAAATTGCTTTTCTTACGCGATTCCCACCCCAACTCTCGCCAAGGGCCCTGGTTCTCATCTCCCCAGTCTTAGCTTCTGACAAGCCTCCAAGAAACTGCGCTTTTTTCTTTTGTAAGTGTTCTTTTGCCTCATGTTTACCCTATCCCAAACGTCTTTTGACTAGACTGTGTCCTTGGAATAAAATGTTCGGAAATGCCCTTTCATGAAAACTCCCTCGGATAGGAGGACCCTCACAGACCCTGGACTGCAGAGATTATTCTGTTGACTTTGACCTTCACTCTAGCTGGTGCCGCGCGAGCTTTGGTGTGGGGGAAAGGAAGGTTAGGCCGTGAGTCAGGAGACCTGTGTTCCTGCGAAAGCCATTTACCTTCTGGGGCCGCAATGGCTTTGAATGTTTCAGGGGATCCCCTGAGAGCACCTTTGGCTCTGGGTTTCTGTAAATTTTCTCCCTGCGGATTACCAAGTAAAAGTACCTTTTATCTTTTGTGTAGAAGGTGTCAGTAGAAGAAGCAAGAGATCTTTATTCCCAAATATAAAATCAACTTACCAAAAATTCTCAAATTTGGGGAAATTTTTTTCATACATTAGTAAAGTACCATTTCAACAAATTAAGTTTAAAAATTATCCCTCTAGGTGGTTTATTAACCAGACCAAAAAAACCCAACAACAACAACAACGAGAGGGGGGTCTTAGATCGATCACTGGGGCACTGCACTTTCCCCTTTGTAGTCCATACACAGATTAACCTTTGTAAATGCTGCTTTGGAAATACATCCTTTGTTTGACTTGAAATGTAACCCCTCCCCTACCGCCAAATATTATTAAGGTTTAAAGTTTAGGCAGAAGCTAAGGTTTTAACGATGTGTCAGGGTGTGGAACCATCGACAGCTGGTAGAATACTTTCCATTTTGGTTACTGGAAACAAGTCATTAAATCTAATATCAATTTTAATAATTTCACTTCAACAAAACTGTCAAATAATGAGATTCGTGGAGTTTTTTCTAGTAGTTCCTCTGGAGAACTTGTGGAGAAAATTCATGAATCTTAGCAGTTAACGGAAAGTATATTGCTTTTCCATATATTTTAAAAAACTATAGAATTATATAACTTCCCCACGGGGATATTAAAAGAAATTGCACTTTCTAACTTCTATAACCATAAATTATCATGTAAAACATGTAGGTAAGCCATATATTTTAAATATGTTTAAAAGCTCTCTTAACATGGGCTTTGACTATTGAGAAAATAGATAAAGTAATGTGAAATCCCTTTTCCTAAATGAGAATCAGTGAGTCAACAATTTGCAGCTTCCAAAAGGGATATCTCTTTTTCATGCTTGAACTATTAAAATAAACAAATATCTTTGATGGGAAATCTAATGTTACCAAATGTGTTCCAGAAGACTGTTGGTGTTAATGCAAAGCATGATTCCTTTAACTTCCATGGTAACTAATTTTATCATTGTTTTTCAGCTGGAGATGCAGAGTATGAAAATGATTTTGCAAGACTTTTCCAGGTCATGAGGTGCTCTCTGAGAAATCTCTTCTGTTCCCTAAAGTAGTAAGTGACTCAACTGAAGCGAAGCAATAATTATTAAATGGATCTCTAGTGGCCTAGGGGCATTAACACATTTTTTTCCTTTGAAGTTATTATACAATTAAATAACTTTAGAGTGGTAGTTCCCAAAATGTGTGACTTTAGGCACTAGTTTGCCTAAATGCTGCTCTAGCAAGTCATTCACTTCAAAAATATTGAGCCACTTCTATATGCCCTGGCTGGCACTCTAGGAACAGTGGTGAAGAAGACAGATATATTTACCTGTCCTGATAGAAGTTACAGTTTGGTGAAAACGATAAATTAGTAACAAGTGCAAATAAGATTTATGCAGATTTATTTACACAAAATAAATGTAAGTCGTGATGTAAATAGTAGATTTTGAGATAAACAATAAGAGAAATCTCTTCATTTTAGAGATCCACAATGTATGTTAATAAATTAAAGGCTCTGAAAATTCCTATGGTAAAAACATTTTACCTAACCTATTCCCCAAACCCCCAAATTTGTTTTGAACAAATTTGTTTGTAAGCAGTGCTTATAATAAAATAGAATAATTTTTGTGAAATGCTGCTTTGTTTTAAAACCAAAGAATTCAATAAACATGAAATTCTGTTAACATCACCTTACATTTATTTGTCAATGTACATTAATATACATCAATAGATTTATACATGTAAATATAATCTGAAGTAGACTGTGTTTGCACATGTTTATACCAGCGCAATTCACAATTGCAAAAAATATGGAACCAGCCTAAATGTCCATCAACCAACGAGTGGATAAAGAAAATATAGTATATATATACCACAGAATACTACTCAGCCATAAAAAGGAACAAAATAATGGCATTCTCAGCAACCTGGATGGAATTAGAGATGATTATTCTAAGTGAAATAACTCAGAGTGGAAAACCAAACATATGTTCTCATTCATAAGCTGGAGCTAAGCTATGAGGACACAAAGGCATCAGAATGATATAGTGGAGTCTGGGGGCTCCAGGGGGAAGTGGGGTGAGGGGTAAAATACTACGTATTGAGTACAGTGTACACTGCTCTGGTGATGGGTACACCAAAATCTCAGAAATTACTGCAAAAGAATTTGTTCATGTCACAAAAAGCCACCTGTTCCTCAGAAACTATTGAAATAAAAAATAAATTGTTTAAGTATGATTAAAAAAAGAAATACGCTGTGTTTGAACACAAAATGATACACAAGGATTTATAAATCTATTAAAATGCTTGAATGTACATCTGTACAAAACACATATTTATAATTAACATTATTTCATAAACATATTTCCAGAGATCAACATGTTCTAAAGTCTTATAATTCTTAATGGCTATATAGTTTATATATTGGTATAGACTAGTTTTTCCTTCCTTCCTTCCTTCCTTCCTTCCTTCCTTCCTTCCTTCCTTCCTTCCTTCCTTCCTTCCTTCCCTCCCTCCCTCCCTCCCTCCCTCCCTCCCTCCCTCCCTTCCTTCCTTCCTTCCTTCCTTCCTTTCTCTTTTTTTTCAGGGTCTGAATCTGTAATCCAGGCTAGAGTGCAGTGGCATGGTCAAGGCTCACTGCAGCCTCAACCTCCTGAGCTCAAGTGAGTCTCCTGCCTCAGCCTCCCAGAAGCTGGACTACAGGCAGGCACACGCCACCACACCCAGCTAATTATTTATTACTTGTAGAGAGGGGATCTCCCTAGGTTGCCCAGGCTGGTCTTAAATGCCTAGGCTCAAGTGATCTTCCCACATCACCCATCCCTCTCACAGTGTGCTGGGATTACATGTGTGAGCCACTGTGTTTGGCCTAGAATAGTTTTCTTAACCCTAAATTTTAGGAAAGTACATTTTCTGATTCTTTAACTATTATAAGTAACACTGCTTTAACCTCCTTGAACAAATTACTCTTTGGAGTAATAAGTGATGGGAATATTTTCTTGGGATATATTTTTTAATGTGGGTTTTTTAATTAAAAGAAATTTTATTTTTTCTGTTTACATAGTCTCATATTTCTTTCCATAACAATTGAAAAATCATTATAAAAATATGGATGTACTTTTATCTTTTAGATTCAGTATCTCATTGACACTGAATTTTATTATTTGTATTTGTTTAAGTTGATTAAGGAAGCTTTAAAATGTGTGTAATTTCAGTATACCCATAGGAAATAGCAAAAATACCTGGAGGAATTTGACTGGATAGCTTTGGTCATAAATCCATAAAGGGCCTCAAAGCTATTTCCCTCCCAATGTACCTCTCTGCGAATTCTTCTAAACTAATTTTGTGGTAATTTTAAAAAATTATCTGAAATTAAAAGAATTCTCAGAAAAGTTCTATAAGCATTGGCTCTAGATCTGCAGTTGGTATAGACCAGCAAAATTGACTGACGACCAATGTTAGAAAGAGGAACCAAAATTTGAATAGGGGCTCAGTGTAAGGACAGCTGTGTTTGGGGGATTCCTGTAGGAAGGGAAAACTTTTCAAGCATTTAAAAGGAATATATCATGGAAGAGTATCAGCAAGGGCTTTGGATTTCTTCATAGCTTTGAAGTAAGCAAGAAAAAATGGAGACAGTCAATCTGACCCATGTGCTTTCAGCATTTGATGACCTGGGCTGAATTCATGGATATTGCCAGCTATGGATTTTAAAATTAGAGTTTTTCTGATGATAATCAGATTCTACTTAAATATAAAAATATAATCATACCCTAGTGTCACAACATGTCTTCATATTCATTTTTAAATCTTCAAACACTGGTCAAGCCCATTCCCTCACTCAAAGAGCACTCAGTTCCTTCTGTCTATTGCTAAGGATTTAGTCTATGCATAGAACAGTGTTTACATTGTAGGTATTCTTGAGGATATTAGAGCTCTCTAGCAAACATTTAAAATGTATATTTTCAAATAAACAAATTATAAAACATTATAATCTTAACCATTTCATCAAATTTGATTCTGGATCTCATGGATGACCACCTTATAACTGAGTACAACCACGCAATTTCAGAGTCCCTGTTTTTTGCATTTATCATTGCATTGGTGTTGTATTAACCTGTCAGATCTTAATGAGAGAACTCTTGCAGCTGAATAAAAAGAGAAATAACCCAATTACAAAATGGCCAAAGAATCTGAATACACATTTCTTCAAAGAAGATATGCATGGCTAATAAGCAAACAAAAAACTGCTCAACATCCTTAATCCTTAGATAAATGCAAATCAAAACCACCTGAGATACCACTCACACCTACTGAGATGGCTATAATCAGAAAGTCAGTATCACAATATCAAGTCTTGGTGAGAAAGTAGAGAAATTGGCATCCTCATACATTGCTGGTGGGAAAGTAAAATGTGCAACTATTCTGGAAAACAGTTGGGCAATTTCACTCCTAGTTACATACCCAAGAGAACTGAAAACATTTTTACACAAAAACTTGCACTCAAATATTATCACAGCATTATCATAGTAGCCCAAAGGTAGAAACAACTCAAATGTCCATTAATTGATTAAAATGTACATGAAATGTATATGATCCCATCCACAAAATGAAACATTATTCAGGTATAAAAAGGGATTCAATACTGGCATGGATTACAACATAAACCTTGAAAAATTATGCTAAGTGAAAGGTGCCAGACCCAAAGATCCACATATTTTATAATTCCGTTTATATTAAATATTCAGAATAGGAAAATCATTACAGAAAATAGTTTGATAATTGCCAACCTACTGGCTGGTGGGGAAGAGTGTGGGGCATTGCTATAAAGGAATGCCTAGGCTGGGTAATTTATGAAGAGTTTTTGACTCAGTTCTACAGGCTATACAAGAAGCATGGCCATGGCACCAGCATTTGCTTCTGGTGAGGGCTTCAGGAAGCTTCTATTCATGGCAGAAGACGAAGGGGAGCAGGTTTCCCATGGCAAGAAAAGGAAAGAGAGGAGGGAGGTGCCAGGCTCTTTTTAACAACCAGTTCTCATGGGATTACTCCAGTAAGAATGGCACCAAGCCATTCATGAGGGGTCCGCCCCTCCATGACCAAAACACCTCCTACTAGGCCTCACCTCCAACACTGGGGATCAAATTTTAACATGAGATTTTGAAGGCACGAATATCTAAACTATATTAACTGCTTAGTGAGTGTGGGATTTCTTTTTGGTATGATGAAAATATTCTGGAATTAGTGATGATGGCTGCACAAGTTTGTGAATACGCTAAAAGCCACTGAACTGTACTCTTCAAAGGCATAAATTGTATAGTATGTGAATTAAATCCCAATAATAAAGAAAAATAGTAATCAGGAATTGTCTTAAGAAAAAACTTGAGAGAACAGATGTAGACTTAATTTGTAACAAGCCATTCCCTTAAAATGAAGACCAAATGACATTAATTTGTGCTGTGCCAATATATATTTAGCAGTTGACAGAAGAGAAAAACAAGTGGTGGGAGAAATTAGTCACTATCCCGCTCATTTTAATTTATGTATGTTAAAGCCAGAAGATCTACAGTTAAAGTCAATACCATATTCACATTACAAGGAACAATTTAACTTCTGTAAAACGGTATCATTCTTCACATTCGCTTGTCTGTTAACTTTTCTGTGAAATCCAGCTCTGCCATTTATCAGTTTTGGGACATTGGACAAGTTGTTTAACTTCTTCCAGTCTTGGTTGCCTCATCTATTAAATGGCGATAATAATCATGTCCAACTCATTGGGTTGTGAATATTAAATAAGTTGATAGATGTAAAGTGCCTAGTACTTATTATGTACTATACATGTTAGATATAATTTAACAATTTTGCAATTTGTTTTGGTTTTATAGTTGTGTGTAAACTGTAATCATAAGAAATTTATAATTCATTTTATATTTGAACATATTTATGCAAGTTTTAATTTAAAAATTTTTTTATTATACTTTTAAGTTTTAGGGTACATGTGCACAATGTGCAGGTTAGTTACCTATGTATACATGTGACATGCTGGTGCACTGCACCCACTAACTCGTCATCTAGCGTTAGGTATATCTCCCAGTGCTATCCCTCCCCCCTCCCCCCACCCCACAACAGTCCCCAGAGTGTGATGTTCCCCCTCCTGTGTCCATGTGTTCCCATTGTTCAATTCCCACATATGAGTGAGAATATGTGGTGTTTGGTTTTTTGTTCTTGCAATAGTTTACTGAGAATGATGATTTCCAATTTCATCCATGTCCCTACAAAGGACATGAACTCATCATTTTTTATGGCTGCATAGTATTCCATGGTGTATATGTGCCACATTTTCTTAATCCAGTCTATCATTGTTGGACATTTGGGTTGGTTCCAAGTCTTTGCTATTGTGAATAGTGCCTTAATAAACATACGTGTGCATGTGTCTTTATAGCAGCATGATTCATAGTCCTTTGGGTATATACCCAGTAATGGGATGGCTGGGTCAAATGGTATTTCTAGTTCTAGATCCCTGAGGAATCGCCACACTGACTTCCACAATGGTTGAACTAGTTTACAGTCCCACCAACAGTGTAAAAGTGTTCCTATTTCTCCACATCCTCTCCAGCACCTGTTGTTGCCTAACTTTTTAATGATGGCCATTCTAACTAGTGTGAGATGGTATCTCATTGTGGTTTTGATTTGCATTTCTCTGATGGCCAGTGATGGTGAGCATTTTTTCATATGTTTTTTGACTGCATAAATGTCTTCTTTTGATAAGTGTCTGTTCATGTCCTTCACCCACTTTTTGATGGGGTTGTTTGTTTTTTTCTTGTAAATTTGTTTGAGTTCGTTGTAGATTCTGGATATTAGCCCTTTGTCAGATGAGTAGGTTGCAAAAATTTTCTCCCATTTTGTGGGTTGCCTGTTCACTCTGATGCTAGTTTCTTTTGCTGTGCAGAAGCTCTTTAGTTTAATTAGATCCCATTTGTCAATTTTGGCTTTTGTTGCCATTGCTTTTGGTGTTTTAGACATGAAGTCCTTGCCCGTGCCTATGTCCTGAATGGTAATGCCTAGGTTTTCTTCTAGGGTTTTTATGGTTTTAGGTCTAACATTTAAGTCTTTAATCCATCTTGAATTGATTTTTGTATAAGGTGTAAAGAAGGGATCCAGTTTCAGCTTTCTACATATGGCTAGCCAGTTTTCCCAGCACCATTTATTAAATAGGGAATCCTTTCCCCATTGCTTGTTTTTGTCAGGTTTGTCAAAGATCAGATAGTTGTAGATATGCGGCGTTATTTCTGAGGGCTCTGTTCTGTTCCATTGATCTATACCTCTGTTTTGGTACCAGTACCATGCTGTTTTGGTTACTGTAGCCTTGTAGTATAGTTTGAAGTCAGGTAGCGTGATGCCTCCTGGCTTAGGATTTGGCTTAGGATTGACTTGGCGATGCGGGCTCTTTTTTGGTTCCATATGAACTTTAAAGTAGTTTTTTCCCATTCTGTGAAGAAAGTCATTGGTAGCTTGATGGGGATGGCATTGAATCTATAAATTACCTAGGGCAGTATGGCCATTTTCATGATATTGATTCTTCCTATCCATGAGCATGGAATGTTCTTCCATTTGTTTGTATCCTCTTTAATTTCATTGAGCAGTGGTTTGTAGTTCTCCTTGAAGAGGTCCTTCACGTCCCTTGTAAGGTGGATTCCTAGGTATTTTATTCTCTTTGAAGCAATTGTGAATGAGAGTTCACTCATGATTTGGCTCTCTGTTTGTCTGTTATTGGTGTATAAGAATGCTTGTGATTTTTCCACATTGATTTTCTATCCTGAGACTTTGCTGAAGTTGCTTATCCGCTTAAGGACATTTTGGGCTGAGACAATGGGGTTTTCTGGATATACAATCATGTCATCGGCAAACAGAGACAATTTGACTTCCTCTTTTCCTAATTGAATACCCTTTATTTCCTTCTCCTGCCTAATTGCCCTGGCCAGAACTTCCAACACTACGTTGAATAGGAGTGGTGAGAGAGGGCATCCCTGTCTTGTGCCAGTTTTCAAAGGGAATGCTTCCAGTTTTTGCCCATTCAGTATGATATTGGCTGTGGGTTTGTCATAGATAGCTCTTATTATTTTGAGATATGTCCCATCAATACCTAATTTATTGAGAGTTTTTAGCATGAAGTGTTGTTGAATTTTGTCAAAGGCCTTTTCTGCATCTATTGAGATAATCATGTGTTTTTTGTCTTTGGTTCTGTTTATATGCCGGATTACATTTATTGATTTGCATATATTGAATCAGCCTTGCATCCCAGGGATGAAGCCCACTTGATTATGGTGGATAAGCTTTTTGATGTGCTGCTGGATTCGGCTTGCCAGTATTTTATTGAGGATTTTTGCATCAATGTTCATCAAAGATATTGGTCTAAAATTCTCTTTTTTGGTTGTGTCTCTGCCAGGCTTTGGTATCAGGATGATGCTGGCCTCATAAAATGAGTTAGGGAGGATTCCCTCTTTTTCTATTGATTGGAATAGTTTCAGAAGGAATGGTACCAGTTCCTCCTTGTACCTCTGGTAGAATTTGGCTGTGAATCCATCTGGTCCTGGACTCTTTTTGGTTGGTAAGCTATTGATTATTGCCACAGTTTCAGCTCCTGTTATTGGTCTATTCAGAGATTCAACTTCTTCCTGGTTTAGTCTTGGGAGAGTGTATGTGTCGAGGAATTTATCCATTTCTTCTAGATTTTCTAGTTTATTTGCATAGAGGTGTTTGTAGTATTCTATGATGGTAGTTTGTATTTGTGTGGGATCGGTGGTGATATCCCCTTTATCATTTTTTATTAATTTAAAAGTTTTAAGTCAACAGTGTAGTCATGGGTTTTTTTCCCTTCTTCTTTCTTTAAAATGAGTCATATTTTATTCAAAGTTGGGAAACACTAGTCTAGAACTAACTTGGGCTTTTTTTTAATTCCCTACTCTGCTCTATACTCTCCATTACCTCACAACTCTCACATTTAAGTCCTAAAAATTAATAAGGATCAGTCATACCCAATTTCAGTTGAATTGCTAGTATAATTTAGTTATAGTTGGAATACTACTTAATAAATGAAAAAGGCAGTATGTTGCCATGCAAATTAATGTGGATCAGGAGTTAGAATGTCTTCAATGACTTATTTGAATCTTTAGCAACTTGCTTAACCATTTTGAGCCTTAGTTATATTGTCTTTAAAATGAAAGTTGCGAAATATAATTGTCTTTAAAATGAAAGTTGTGAAATACAATTGTCTTTAAAATGAAGTGTGAAAATAATAAGTTATTGTTTTAAGCTGTCAATTTGGGGGCAATTTATTGTGCAATGATAGATAACCAAAACAAGAACCCAAAAATGTTCATTTTCCTTGTTTGATCAATAATATATATTCTGTATCTCTTATACAAACTGCTCAAAAACTTAAGGTACAGTTGTAAACACTTTTTTAGCACACCATTTTCTTCTTTGCTTTATTATTATAGACATATATTTATATTATATTATTATATACATATATTTATATTATACCATATATTTATACATTTCTATTTATACTATACATGTATACATTTATATTTATACATTATATTTATACTATATATTTATACATTCATATTTATACATGTATATTTATACATTTATATTTATATTTATACTATAGTATACTGTATATAGTATACTATACTATATATACTATATTTATGCTATATTTTTATACTATATATAGTATACTATATAGTATAAATATAAATAGTATATTATATATAGTATAAATATAAATGTATAAATATATAGTTACTTAACACTGTGATCAATTCTGTGATCAAAGTTCTATATATATACTCTTTATATATAATATATGTATATATAGTATACTATATAGAGTATATGTATAGAATATATAGTATATAGAGTATATATATAGAATATATACAGTATTCTATATATAGTATATATAGAGAATACTATATAGTATATCTAGTATACTATAATATATATACTATATATAATATACTATACTATAGTATGTATAGTGTATATATACTATATATAGTTTATATAAAATATATACACTATATATTATATATACTATATACAGTATATATACTATATATAGTATAAATGTATTAGTATACTTAGTGTGTATATATATAGTGTGTGTATGTGTGTGTGTGTGTGGATATATATATATATATATATATATATATATATATATTAGAGACAGGATCTCACTCTGTCACCCAGGTTGGAGTGCAGTGGTGTGATCACACCTGGCTGCAGCTTCAAACTCTCAAGCTTAAGCAATCCTCCCTCATCAGCCTCCCAAGTCCCCAGACAGAAGCACTGCTTTATTCTTTAAAAAAAATCACAAAGACGTTATTTCATGCTTTCATACTGTTACATCACCTTTTTGATGCCCATTGTTAATACCTGATAAAATAAACCAGCTTTACGAAACAAATAGGACTTCTGTTTCTATAAACATAAATGTTTGACCTTCATGACTGTAAAGAGATCAGAGGATTAGTAATGGAGGAGATATTAAAGCAGGAGCTGATTTTAATCTCTGTTTTATTATCTTTTAAAATACATTTAAGATAGTTAACTTATTTTTAAAGCAAATTTAAGTAAAATGGAAATGTCCTTTGAAATGTTGGAATTTTATGACTCTAAATCCAACTATCTCTGAAAAGAGGTTAGAGTTTATTTCTAAACAAATGTTACCAGAATTGATCACAGTGTTTTTAAGTAACAAAATGCTTTATAGTACCAGTTTCATACAATACACCAAACTAATTTCTATTAGGTATGTAAATTTTAAAATTTCAAAGTCACATGGAAAAGAAAATCAGAAAAGCAGAAATGAAAGTTTGTCATATTGCTGGTAGGCTACTTAAGCTTGAATAGATGACAGCAATCTCAAAGATAAAGACTTACAAATTTGACTAAATAAAATTTAAAGTTCTATATATTTTTTCCAAAACATAAACTGAGTGAAAATATTTACTGTAAACTGAATGAAAGATTAATGTCTTAAATATTTCAAAATAGCTCACACAAATTCAGATGAGAAGCAACAGTTTATGCTTGCCATAAATGGGCAAGAGAATTGGGCAAACATTTTAATAAAGAGGAAATAAAACTTTAATAAAAGAGACACTGGGACAGCTACTGTGTACAGACTTTCCATAGTCTTTTTATTTTTTCCTGTTTATTGATTTTGAACAATCAACTATTTCCCTCTAAAAGTAAATCACCAAAGAATGTACCATTCAAAGGACTTTAAAATTTGTAGTGCATCTTAGTCAAGGCAAGAAGTAAAAAGTAGGTCATTGACTTAAAAGTGCCAAGAACAACATTCTCCTGTTCTTATTTTTATTATACAATTACATAGTAAAATAATTCCCATACTTTCCAATATTTGGTATGTATGCTAGGCCTTATTATCTTAATTTCTGGGTTATTTTACAGCAGTCACTTTACCCATTTTATGAACTTCATCAATGTTCTGAGGCCCTCTTTTCCAGGATTATGTCATTTAGTTTTTTATTTTAAAATAACAACTAATAACTTTTACCCTTTGTTTTTTTTTCAAACTATTAATTTATGTTTCAAATATTTATTGAGTGTTTGTGTGCCACTTTCTAAGGTACTGGGGACACAAGAAGCAATAAGACAAAAAATATCCCTGTCTTCATGAAGCTTACATTCTACTTAGAGCTGTCAATCATGTGCATAATGTTCTGCCCAAAGGCACCTGGCTGAGGAGTTGAATGGGGAGGGGGACACTGGAGGTGGATAAAATTCGTCTTTTACTCTGCTCCCACCCATGCCTTTTTCTTTACACAAATGTAGCTGCTAACCAAATCCTGTGCATGGGGTGGGATGAACGTGTATGTGTGTATGTGTATGTGTGTGTGTGTGTGTGTACGAGCAAACACGCACATGCCTGAATCATTTTCTAATTTGTACCAAGATGCCAAAGATGAGGCATCAGTTCTATTGAAGAAAGACAGACAATACATAAGTTATACAAATAGAAATATAAGCATGTTTGATGATGATAAATGCTACAGGAAAAATTAAGAAAGGGAAATAAATAAGGAATATGGACAGGAATGGCCTTCAAGGTGACATTTTAGTGGGAAGTGAGAGATAAGTAGGTGAGCCATGTAGACAGCTAGGGGGAAATGTCCTAGTAAGGGTGAAATCAAGTGGAAAGACCCTGAGGCCAGACAGGAGCTGTGTCCACAGAACAGCCAGCTTGTCTAGAAAAGACTGAATGAGACCAACTAGTGGGAGATGAGGTCAGAGAGCTTGGACAGAAGGTAGGATGTGGGGAAGCAGTTGGGCTGAGATTGTTTAGGGTGTTGCAGGCTAAATAAGGAATTTAACAGAATGAGATGTGAAGCCTTGGAGGATTTTAAGCAGATGTGATAGGATTTGATTTATATTTTAACAGACTAACTCTGGCTACAGTGTAGTAAATAGATTGAAGGGAGACAAGGATGGAAGCAGGGAAACTAGTTAGGGAGCTGTTGTAATAATACACGTGAAAGGTGATAGTGGAATAGATGAAGGTGGTAGGAGTGGAGTTAGGGGAAATGTAGGATTCTCAAATGTATTCTAAAAGTAAAACCAACAGAACTTGATGGTAGATTGACTGTGGGGTCTGAGAAAAGAAGAGTCAAAGATAATGGCAAGATTTTAGGCCTGATCAACAGGAGGACTTGGAGTTGCCATTCACTGAGAAGGTAGAGATTGTGTCAAACAAAATTAGGATGGGAAATAGATCAGGAATTCAGTTTGGGGAATGTTATGTTAGAGATGATAAGTGAGGAGTTGGATATTTGAGTCTGGGGTTCAGAGGAGAAGTCTGGTCTAGAGATATTAATTGGAGTTATTGGCATATGAGATATACAAACCATGAAATCACCAATGGTGTAAGAGTAGTTAGAAAAGAGGAGAACCCCAAGGATTGAGTTTTGGAGTATTCCACTGTTTGGTAGTGAGAGAGAGAAGGAGTAAGGATAAAGGAAACTAAAAAGATGCCACTAATGAGGTAAGAGAAAAAGCAGGACAATTGAGTGTCCTAGAAGCCAAGTGAAAAAAATATTTCAAAGAAAGGGGAATAATCAGCTGTGTCAAATACTTTTTATTTTTTCCTTTTTTAGAGACAAGTTCTTGCTATGTTGCCCAGGCTAGACTTGAAATGCTGGCCTCAAGTGAACCTCCCACCTCAGCCTCCTGAGTAGCTTGGACTTTGAGTGATCAAGTAGAATGAAAAATGAGAACAAGATTTAAAATGTGCAGGCCAGGGGGCCCAGTAGCTCATACCTGTAATCCCAGCACTTTGGGTGGCTGAGGTGGGAGGATCACCTGAGTCCAAGAGTTTGAGGCTGCAGTGAGCTATGATTACAGCACTGCACTTTGGCCCCATCTCAAAAAAAAAAAAAACAAAAAGAAAGGAAGATTATTGGTAACTTACCTGATAGGAATTGGTTCAGAGAATGGGAAAACAGAAACTGGAGACAGCAAGTATAGGCAACTCTTCTTAAGAGTTTTCTTGTAAGCTGAAGAAGAGAAATGGTGTGGTAGCTGAAGGAGAAGATAGAGTCCAGAAAAAAAGTTATTTTAAAATGGAAAAACAATCCTATATATGTATGGTTATGGGAATGATCCAGCAGAGATTGAAAGATTGATGATTTAAAAGAGTAGAGAATTGTTTGAGCAAGGTCATTGGGTAGGCAAGAAGAGATGGTATTTAGTGGATAAGTGGTGAAGCTGGCCTTGGCTAGGAGAATGAGCAGTTTATCCTCAATAGAAGAAAGGGTTATAGATGGGTCCCTCATGCAGTGAAGTAGCTAGATGTTGTGGGGGGCATGTGGAAGTTATCTTCTAATTGCTTCTTTTATCTCTGTGAAATAAGATGCAAAGTTGTCTGCTGGGAGTGAGGAAGAAGAAGGGAAATTTAGGGAAAGAAGAAAAGGCATAAAAAATGAAGCGAATAAAAATCAGTTAATAAGAAGGTGGAAATAGGCTGTGCACAGTAGCTCATGTTTGTAAACCCAGTGCTTTGGGTAGCCAAGATGGGGGATTATTTGAAGCCAGGAGTTTGAGACCAGCCTGGGCAACATAGCAAGGCCCCCTCGTCTCTACAAAAAATAAAAAATTAGCTGGGTATGGTGGCATGCAACTGTAGTCCTAGCTGCTCAGGCGGCTGAAGCAGGAGGATTGCTTGAGCCTAGGAGTTCAAGGTTACAGTGAGCTATGATGGTGCCACTGCACTCCAGGCGGGGTGGCAGAAGAGACCCTATCTCTCTAAAAAAAGAAAAAGAAGGTGGCAATAATCCAAATGTATCAGTAATCACCAGAAATATGAATGGAATAAGCTATTCATTTAAAAGAGAGAATTTTCAGATTAGGTTAAAACAAATACATATATATACTATTTATAAAAGTTAAGCATAAAGCTCAAGAGCACAGAACAACTAAAAATTACAGATTCAAAAGAGATACCAGGCCAATATCAATGAAAAGAAATACGATGTAAGTATATCACTGTTGAGGTAGGTGAATAGCAGAGGAAGCTGGGGGCGAAGGGGAACTGTTGGATGTAGGCTAGCTTAAGGAGAACATGCAAGATAACAAAAGCAGAGGGCTGTGTGGTGGCTCACACCTGTAAGCCCAGCATTTTGGGAGGCAGAGGTGGGTGGATCACTTGAGGTCAAGAGTTCAAGATGAGCCTGGCCAACATGGTGAAACCGAGTCTCTACTAAAAATACAAAAATTAGCTGGGCATGGTGGCACATGCCTATAGTCCCAGCTACTCCAGAGGCTGAGTTAGGAGAATCGCTTGAACCTTGGAGGTGGAGGTTGCAGTGAGCTGAGATTGCACCATGGCACTCCAGCCTGGGCGAAGAGTGAGACTCCATCTCAAAACAAAAACAAAAGCAAAACAAAAACAAAAGCAGAGCATACTAGATAAAAAGAAGTAAACAGTAAGTTGGCACAATAAGGGAAAGGCAAGAATGAGCAATTAGCCTACAAGAGATAAAGTAAGGTTAAGGTGCAATAAGGGAAAGGCAAGGATGAGCAATTGGTCACAAAAAAATAAAGTTGAGTAAGTTAGAGTAAAAAAACATAATAAAAGGCCATGAAATGTTACAAATCGGGGCTGATACCACTTGTGGGTCAGCCCAGTCCATTGCAAATTGTACTGTGCTTAATAAATCTTTTGCTGCTTTGCTATTTGTGTGTCATGTCCAGTTCTTTGCTCAGTGAAGAACCTGGGACTTTGCAACATCAGCTGGTAACGTAGTATTTTTGGTAAGCCAGCCAGGAGGTAAGCGCCAATTTGGGATTTTTATTTTTGGTTTTGCTTTCTGATTCTTTCCTCTGATGGCACTCTTTGGGGGCACAAGATGGGTAGTTAAGAGCCACTAGGGTGCCCCCCTGCTGGAAGACTCGGACAGGATAAGCTGGTGGGGAACGGAGCAATTAGGCTTCACCAGGCACAAGACAAATCCCTGTGCCTGTGAGGTATTTGTGTGTGTGGCAAGACATAACATTCTGATTTTTGTTTTCGTAATGTTGAAACAAGAAATTACTGTACCCCGACCCAAAGGACCCAGGCAATAGCTAAATAAGGAAAAAAACCCTGCTTCTTTTGTGAGGGACCAGATCTGGATCGTTTTAGTTTAGCAGACCTGGTGCTAAGAGAAAAATCCTGGTGGAGACTCTCGGATCATTGCCTAAGTTGTGCAGCGGATCCATGGGGAAATCACTGCATGTAGTTTATCTGGTCAGAGGGCATTCTCTTCCCTTATCAAGAGGCCAATCTTTAACAAATTCAAGCTGGGGAGTCTGCAATTCCTTGCCCTTCAAACTACAGTTACCACAATAGTTAAGGAAACCATTTGGGGAAGAAAACTATTTTGGCCAGCTACAGAGATGCCAAAAGCTGAGGGCAGCACCTGGGGACTAAAGGGAAACTTAATCATAGGTCACCAAATATGGCGGAATCCTTCTTCAAGTGGTGCTGATGCCCATCTAAGGCCAGAGACATGTGGCATGTCATGAAGAGGCCCAAGCAGGGGATGCCCTCTTGGCCCTCAACCCCAGCATAGGCCCTTCAATGGGGGACGCCCCAGTGTGTGGCCCTAGGCCAGAACGCTCTAAATTTCAAGTTTTCCTTGTTCTCTACAGACAGAAGACAAGAAACTCAGTTTCAATCTCACCCGACTTCCCCCTTGGCTGCATCCTCAATCACTGGGGGACGGTTCAATCCCAACAGATATCCCCAGAGCGTGTGCAAGCCATATGTGGATTAGACCCACCCCCACCAAACAAATTTGTCCTTTTCTGGGGATGTTTGGATTTTGCAGAATATGAATTCCCAATTTTGGATTTATAGCAAAGCTCCTTTATGCAGTCATGTGGGGGCCAGAGAATGAGCCAATTGAATGCACACCAAAAATAAGGGAGGCCTTCACTAAGTTAAAACAAGCTGTCAGTAAGGCTCCTGCACTAGGCACCCCAGACCTCACTAAGCCTTTTTCTTTACATGTAGCTAAAAGGAAAAGTATGCTTTGGGAGGCCAAGGCAGGTGGATCACAAGGTCAGGAGATCGAGACCATCCTGGCTAACATGGTGAAACCCTGTCTGTACTAAAAATACAAAAAATTAGCTGGGCAAGGTGGTGGGTGCCTGTAGTCCCAGCTACTGGGGAGGCTGAGGTAGGAGAATGGTGTGAACCCAGGAGGCAGAGCTTGCAGTGAGCCGAGATGGTGCCACTACACTCCAGCCTGGGTAACAGAGCGAGACTCTGTCTCAAAAAAAAAAAAAAAAAAAAAAAAGGAAAGGTATAAATTGGACAGGGTGTCCTTGAGATGTCCAAGCTCCTTGTGGGCAATAGCAGTCACTGCTATTTTAGTAGAGGAAGCCACTATGATTACTCTGGGTCAACCACTGGAAGTACTAACCCCATGCCAGCTTAAATCAATCTTGGAGGCAAAAGAACACATTTGGATGACAGGAGAAAAGTTAACCAAATATCAGGCTATGTTTTTAAAATAATCCAGAAGTTATCCTTAAAACTTGTAACACCCTGAATCCAGCTCCACTACTGCCCACATGCCCAGTGATCATTCCTGCAAGCAGATATTTGTACACACATATATGAGCTGGCCTGATCTAAAAGATCAGCCTCTCCCAGATCCTGAAGATGGCTGGTTCACAGACGGCAGTAATTTTGTGTCAAATGGAGAATGCTAGGCTGGGTATGCAATAGTAAATTACAACACATATTGAGGTCCAGCTGCTGCCTCCAGGCACATCAGCATAAAAAGCTGAGACCATTGCTCTTACTTGGACTCTAATATTAGAAAAAGAGAAAAAGCTCAACATTTTTTCAGTTTCCAAATATACATTCCTTGTGGTTCATGTTCATGCCACAGTCTGGAAAGAAAAAGAATTACTAACCAGCAGGCATTCCCCCATAAAACATGGGGCTGAAATTCTTCAATTATTAGAAGCATATATCTACCAAAGGCTATAGCTATAATTTATTGTAGGGGGCATGAGAAACACTTAGCCCATAGTGCTGGAAAACAGGAAGGCTGATAAGAAAGCCAAAGTGGCAACCCTCAGAATACAATACCAACCAGTTTTAGCTTTGTTTCCTTATGCTAATTCCCCTGTAAAACCTAACTACACAGTACAAGAAAAACAACTAATAAAAAGAGCAAGGGGGTCAAAAACAAAGACTCTGGTGACATATGTGGCCAAAATTGTATCTCCCTCAAGCAGCCCAGTGGAAAGCTATAAAAACCTTGCATGACTCCTTCCACAAGGGGAGGGATGCCATACTAGCCACGGTAAACAAACTCTTCATCAGATCTAATATGGCTTCAGTGGCTAAGCAAGTTTGTCAAACCTGTTCACTGTGTGCATTTAACAACACAGGAGATAAAATGCCTCCCCTAGTAGAACCCATCTATATGCAAAGTTTCAAGAAAAGGTACTCAAAAGGAGAGTTCCAAGACAGGTGTAGACATCATAAATAATTCTCTGCTACAGGGGTCACCAGTCTCTCAGAGGGAACCACAGCTGCCTCCATGTAACTCTTCACCTAGCACACTGGAAGAAAAACCACAAGAGTCAACAGAAATCCTGCTGAGTCCTCTGCACAATAGAAAAGGTACCCCATACACCACCCCCCAAGCCTATTTACTCTCAGAGAGGTGGCAGGGCCAGTGTGCCCAATGCTAGTCCAAGCCCCTTTTTTGGTAACAGATACACAGCAATGTAAAGAAAAACTAGAGAGTTACTCTGAAAATCCTAGGAAGTTTGCAAATGGTTTTCAAACCTTGTCTTTGGGTTTTGACCTTTCATGGAAGAATGAGAAAAGGAATAACTGAGGGAAGTCACCCAGGAAAAGGAGAAAAATCCCGGCTATGTTTTACAGCTGGTTAAACTAACTGTACACTAACCTAGACCCAGCCTCTTAACAAGGGAAAGCGCTTATAGCTCAGCACTTCATAAGCCAGTCTGCCCTTAATATTAGATGCAAGTTTCTAAAGTTGGAAATAGGGCCTCAGACACAGCTTCTGGATACTGCTTTTATGGTATACAACAATTGTGACCTAGAGAAAGGGAGGGAAAATAAATGACAAGCTAAAATTATGGCTGCTGTCATTGGCAATGCCCTAAAGGCCCAAAAGATGTCAAAGGGAAACCTGTGAGGGCCCAAATGTAGTAACCCTTGCTTCAAGTGCAAAAAGAATGGACATTGGATGAAGGATTGTATCAGACTCCCACCAGGCCCCTGCCATCAGTGCAAAGATACCAGTCATGATCTCTGGCACTAGAGGATTGACTGCCCTACTCCCATCTAGGGGCTTGGCCAGTCAAAACTCTTGCAATGCAAAGGGAGGAACTGGATGAAGACTGAAGGGGCCCAGGGTCTCCCTCACCACCCTTGGTCCAGGAATATCATAATTACCATTGAGGAACCCCAGGTAACTCTGGACAGCATGGGCATCCAAATTCAGTTTCTTTTTGATACAGGGGAAAACTACTATGTCCTTACTGCTCATGCAGGAAAAGTTTCCTCTCGGTCTATAAGTGTTATCAGAATGGAAGAAAAGCCACAAACTAGATTTTTTACTCCTTCTCTGACTTGTCAATTTAAAACAAAGAACCCAAATATTTCAACAAGAATTTCTGGTAGTGCCAAGTTGCCCAGTTTCCCTGCTAGGAATGGTATTATGGTCAAAATAGGGGTGCAGCTATAATTCAAGACCCAGTTAACAGTTTCAGAAGAGGAAAGGAAGCATGGGGTCTAGGGGCCAAAACTGGAATTCTTGATAAAATGGAATATTATTACTTTAATATTCCAAAATATGTTATGTCAATCTAATCACTCCCATTACAGTGCTGATGAAGACTGTAACCCCTTTTGTGCTGATGACTGTTATTCAGCTATGAGGCCTAAGAACTTTGACCCTTGGGGAGAGTGGGATGCAAGCATACCAGCTAATAAATCTGGGATAAACACCAATAAACCTCATGTAGTTCTACAAGTACCTACCACAGGGATATCCCTGGTGGGAATAGCACACTCTTTCCTGTGTGGAAACTAGGCCTATTTGCAACATGCCAGTAAAATAGAGAGTCCTGTGTGCTATTGTGGCAGCAGCTTCTGATGCACATTGCCCTATGCTTGCATGCCCTGAACTTTACACTTACAATTTTCTTTCTGCTCTTAATGATTTTTGTTCTTTGGGTTGTTTAATTCTGCATCACTCTGGGAAGCATTGGAGGCCAGATGTCTCCCAGTTTCTAGTCTTATTAAAAAAGAAAATAATAATTTTATGTAATTCAGAGGTTATCTAAAGGTCAACTCAAACTATGGACTAAAAATGTTAATTATGAGGTAAGCTAGAAAGGAATCAGTAAGTAGGAAAAAGAGAGACCTGAAGAAAGATATAGATATGAAGATGTATTTTTTGGTAAGGAAGATTAAAAAAGAGAATAATTTTATATAAAAAAGCATCTTCTATGGTAAACTTTTGTCCTAAAGTAAAATGACTGATTATTTAAGAAAGAGAAAAGTTTAGGACAAGTCAGAAACTCCAAGCATATCATAGATGGTCTGTGCAAGTCATCATAAGGTTCATGAAGTGGACTTTATAAAAGGAATTTTGTAGGTGATTAAGTTGGTTATTATTAAAAAGAGATTATTTATAATAATCTTCTAAGATTGGTCCCGTATATTAAAATAAAGTTTTCTTAAAGTATTGTTTTTCTCTCACTAAAATTGCAAAATATTTTACTTTTAATTTTATGACCTGTTTCTTTTAAAAAAATTTCTCAGAATCATATCTCAAAAATTAAACTTTTGCTGTGTGTCACTGCTTTCAGTATTTTTTTTCCTCCCCTTGAGAAGGACCAAGAAATAACTCTTTCCTTCAGCTTTTTGGTCAGCTCCTGTAACTTTGTTCCTCTGGTTCTAACTGCATTGACAGGCTAAGGGAATAAGCTGGAGCCGGACAACCTGGCTCAAAAGCTTGTTGTCTTCTTTTAAAATTGGCTACCACCAATCATCTTGCCCATATGAGGTCCCCTGTTAGGCAGGGTCACCACTGAAAGCCAGCAGGAAGATGGTACAGAAGAAAGACCATCCCCCTTCAGCACCCCGTAAGGATTTATGACACTCCCTGAGGTAATGTTGAATGCATGTTCTTAAATAAGAAACAGGGCAAGGACACTCTCTATCACCTCACTGTTCAACATTGTACTTGTAGTCCTGGCTTCTGCAGTGAGGAAAGAAAAAGAAATGAAGTATAATGATTGAAAAGGAGGGGGAGAAATTGTCATTCATAAATGAAATGACCTTACATAGAAAACCCAAGGGTCCACAGAAAAATTATGAGATTTAATAAGAGAGTTTAACAAGATTGCTCAATTTAAAACATTAACATAAATAAATTATTGCATGTCAATACATCAGCTATGAGCAGTTTAATAATGCAATTAAGAAAGATACCATTTATTATGGCAATTGAAAATACCAAGTATCCATTAATAGATCTAACAAAAGATATGTAAGCACTTCATGGAGAAAAGTATAAACCGTATGGAAAAAGACATTAAAGAATATCCAAAGATCGTTCATAATCTTGGGTACAAAGACTCAGTATTGTGAAAATGCTGCTCTTTCCAAATATATCTAACAATTCAGTTTCTGTCAAAATCCCATCAAGATTTTTTATGGCACTAGATGCATTAATTCAAAAATCAATATGGATGAGCAAGAGGTAAGAATAGTCACAAAATTCCCAGAGAAGAAGAGCAATATAGTATGATTTGCCCTCCTAGATACCGAGGATAATTATATAGCTACAAAATTCTATATTATAGGGTTAGACAGACTAAGGGAACAGAATAGGTAGCATTAAAATTGACCCAGGCACAATAACATGCTGGCAAGAATGTGGGGAAAGGGGAACCCTCATACACTCTTGGTGGGGATGCAAATTAGTATAGCCGCTATGGAGAACAGCGTGGAGGTTCCTCAGAAAACTAAAAATAGACTTACCATATGATCCAGCAATCCCACTACTGGGTATATATCCAAAAGAAAGGACATCAATGTATAAAAGAGATAGCTACACTTCCCTGTTTTTTTGCTGCCCCATTTACAATAGCCAAAATATGGAATCAGCCTAAATGTCCATTAATGTATAAATGGATAAAGAAATGTGTTATATATACATTATGGAATATTATTCAGCCATAAAAAGGAATGAACTCCTGTTATTTGCATCAACATGGATAGAACTAGAGGCCATTACATTAAGTAAAATACAAATATCTCACATTCTCACTCGTATGTGGGCACTAAACATGTGAATTTCATGAAGATAGACAGTAGACTGTGGGTTACCAGAGGTTAAGAAGAGGGTGTAGGGGATGAAGAGGGAAAATAACAAATATGAATGTATTTATTACCACTGAACTGCAAGCTTTAAAATGGTAAATATGGTGAATTATATATATATTTTTTTCCTCAATTAAAAAAAAACTGGTGCAGGCATAGAGGAAAAAAAAACTTGATTTATGACAGAGCAGGCCTTGTATGTCAGCAGGAAGGAAGAACTATTGTTTTTTGTAACTGAGTATCTTAGGTTTAAAAAGCATTTTAGATTTTATTTCTCCAATCTCAGAATATAGCTTTGAAATGTACTTTGAAGCTCTTTGCTTCTCCCTCTTTCCCAGTAGAAACTTCCTTGCACCGTGCATGTTTCTCTGACTACAGGCTTCCTTAGAAACTCCACCAGCTAATCTCAAAACAAACCAGATATGGAGACCTAGCTGCAGACTTCTTCCTCTTTAGGTGGTTAATTTACAACTCATCTGGTAACCTAGATGGGGCCAGCCACACCCAGATGGGCAATAGCTCAAGATAACCATGGGAACAACACATGCAGGCCTGCACCCTGCACTACTCCCATTCCCATGTGTTTCCCCTCGTAAACTCCTTCACTTAGCTTAAAAATTTGAGATGGTTTCTTTGCAGCTTGAGCCCAGCCATTTCTGCAACTGCTGGCATTTGAATAAAGCTGCTTTCCTTCCACCACACCTTGCCTCTTGTGCACTTGGCTTTTCAGGCAGCTACCAGCCAAACCTGAGTTTGGTTACATTATGTTACTTTGTGAAAAATAATTTTATGAAAAATGTGAAATTGTACTTTACCCCACAAAAATCAATTCTAATAAAATAAAATACTTATTATGAAAAGGAAAACTTGAAAACATAGAAAAATATCTATTTATCTATCTCTATCTATCTATCTATCTATCTATCTATCTATCTATCATCTATCTATCTATAATATTTTCAAATGGCACAATCATGGCTTCCTGCAGCCTGGAACTCCTGGGCTCAAGTGATCCTCTCACTTGGGCCTCTCATAGTGCTGGGATTACAGGCATGAGCCACTGTACCTAGCCAGGATAGGTCTATTAAATAAGACACATACAGTAATATGAACTAGCAGAGGAAAAAATGTATCCATTTGACATTAAAATTAAAAACTCTCTATAATGAATGGAAACCATAGAGGAACTGAAAAAGGTTAGTCACATTGTGAAAAGATATTTGTTATATATCATAAACCAAAAGTTCAGGATGGTGTGTACCTCTCAGGGTTGGGATGGGAAGCCAGTTATAATAAGGCAGGGCACTTAGGGGAGCTCTGAACACTGTTTTATTTCTTAAGCTGGGTGTCTGGTACATGAGTGTTCATTTTATTATTATTATTTTAATTGTGTATACATATTTCATACACATTATATATGATATAATTTAATTTTCTAATGAAATAAAATTTAATTCCAAATGACTTGACCAGTAAAAGAAGTGTATTAGTTTCATAATTGAAAGATCCAGTGATGAGGAAGCTTCAGATATGGTTTGATCCAGAGTCCACCCCTATGGCTAGGGAAGAGGTAATTTTCCTTCAGAGCACATAGACTGGATTGGGAAAGGATGAATACTAGAATAAAGACTCACTGAAAGAGAGAGTCTAAGCAGGAAAAGTTAAGAAATGTATAGAGCCACAAAGCATTAAACAGGTGCCAAAAATAGTTGTTAGTATTTCTCATCTTATACTCAACTTTTAAAATCCTTGTTTTTCCTGTGACTTTTGCTAACTTGGATTGCTAGCTGGAATGAAGCATTAAGATGAATAATGATTTTATTATACCCCCTAATCATTTTGTACTCATCACATTTCAACTTATGCTTTAACTTTTTGCCAAAAAGATATTTTGATACAATAATAAGCCCTCTTTTTAAGTGTGATAATGTTTGAATGTAGTGTTAAAACCTGTTAAAATACTCATTGCTGATCACTCATAAAAAGAAAAATTTGTTAAGTGACTTCTGTGCCTGTGTTCTTGTATTCCAGATGTGTCTACAGGTCATAATTATGGCCACAGTGATTTTTAATGTAATTGCAACTTTTAATTTATTTTATGTTACTTTATTATTACCTTAATTTTTCATATTTTTTCAGCTTTTGAATGTTATTCTAATATAAAACCTTTCCCAAGCTAATTAGGATGATCACAGCTTATCATTTATTCAGAATAATTATGGAATTATTTAGATAATTGTCCAATAGTTTTTAAAAATTATTCATGATTATTATTTCTTTAAGATCTCTTAAATAGATTGCGTGCTATTTAATTTTATGTTTTCTTCATGATGCAGCGTCATTAGGAATGTAGATTACTTTGTTACAATTACAATAATTTGTGATGCAAGTAGCTGTTTGCTTATGTACTTAAGGGAACTACTCTAACTGGTGAAGAGTAGGATGAAGCATCCATGTCCCTACAAAGGATATGAACTCATCCTTTTTTATGGCTGCATAGTATTCCATGGTGTATATATGCCACATTTTCTTAATCCAGTCTATCATCGATGGATATTTGGGTTGGTTCCAAGTCTTTGCTATTGTGAATAGTGTCGCAATGAACATACATGTGCATGTGTCTTTATAGCAGCATGATTTATAATCCTTTGGGTATATACCCAGTAATGGGATAGCTGGGTCAAATGGTATTTCTAGTTCTAGATCCTTGAGGAATTGCCACACTGTCTTCCACAATGGTTGAACTAGTTTACAGTCCCACCAACAGTGTAAAAGTGTTCCTATTTCTCCACATCATCTCCAGCACTTGTTGTTTCCTGACTTTTTAGTGATCCACATTCTAACTGATGTGAGATGGTACCTCATTGTGGTTTTGATTTGCATTTCTCTGATGGCCAGTGATGATGAGCATTTTTTCATGTGTCTGTTGGCTGCATAAATGTCTTTTTTTGAGAAGTGTCTGTTGATATCCTTTGACCACTTTTTGATGGGGTTGTTTTTTTCTTGTAAATTTGTTTGAGTTCTTTGTAGATTCTGGATATTAGCCCTTTGTCAAATGAGTAGATGGCAAAAATTTTCTCCCATTCTGTAGGTTGCCTGTTCACTCTGATGGTAGTTTCTTTTGCTGTGCGGAAGCTCTTTAGTTTAATTAGATCCCATTTGTCAATTTTGGCTTTTGTTGCCATTGCTTTGGTGTTTTAGACATGAAGTCCTTGCCCATGCCTATGTCCTGAATGGTAATGCCTAGGTTTTCTTCTAGGGTTTTTATGGTTTTAGGATTAACATTTAAGTCTTTAATCCATCTTGAATTAATTTTTCTACAAGGTGTAAAGAAGGGATCCAGTTTCAGCTTTCTACATATGGCTAGCCAGTTTCCCTAGCACCATTTATTAAATAGGGAATCCTTTCCCCATTTCTTGTTTTTATCAGGTTTGTCAAAGATCAGATGGTTGTAGATGTGTGGTATTATTTCTGAGGGCTCTGTTCTGTTCCTTTGGTCTATATCTCTGTTTTGGTACAGTACCATGCTGTTTTGGTTACTGTAGCCTTGTAGTATAGTTTGAAGTCAGGTAGCGTGATGCCTCCAGCTTTGTTCTTTTGGCTTAGGATTGTCTTGGCAATGCGGGCTCTTTTTTGGTTCCATATGAAGTTTAAAGTAGTTTTTTCCAATTCTGTGAAGAAAGTCATTTGTAGCTTGATGGGGATGGCATTGAATCTATAAATTACCTTGGGCAGTATGGCCATTTTCATGACATTGATTCTTCCTATCCATATATCTGGGTTATTTTATAATCAGGAAAAAAGCACTAAATGTGAATAAAAGTGCTGAATTATTTTAGTTATAATGTTACCTTTCATGGTCCAGCCTCTAAAGTGCTTGAATTCTATGCTTCCTACTCATGATCTGACTTTGAGCTTCATTAATTCCATTCCAAGCTATGCGTTATTTCTATTCCAAAAGCATGTTTTCTATCTTTTTGAAAACAATCCAAAAGATCTTTTTCAATTTATCTTTTTCTTCAAAATTATTTTAGTGATTTTATTTTATTTTTAGAAAACTTTTTTTTTAAAAAACTGACAATTATATCTCAATTTGGTATTAAAACACTATTTTGCTGGTGCTTGAAAACTCAAAAATCTCCATTGTCTATAGTATAAAATACAGAATCTTAAAGCTTTTCTCTAGTGTATTTCCAAATTGCCTACCTTATTTTACTTATTATGCCTCTATGTTAGCCCTCTTTTTCTATCCTATTGGCCTAGAATATGTCATTTTTAGTCCTGACTCTTGTGGGACTCTACTAAATCGTCCATCTTTACTAAATGATCCATCGGTTAGATCCGTTTCCTTTTGAAACCTTTCCTGAGCTTTCCAAACTCAAAAAAACTCTACCTTCTGTAATTATTTATGACACTTATTATTATTCTCTTGGAACATGCATACTACTTTGTATTGCCATCCTTTCTAGGGTAACTTCTGGATGATTTTGTATATGCACAACACCTAGGAGTGTTTATCCACAATACTTGGAAGTGTCTTACATATTTGGTAAGGTTGTAATGATGGGTGGGCTCATTTCACTTAGACTACATGCCAATAGTCTACCTGAGAGTGTTCCCGTCCTTTCATGAATAAAGTAGTGTGTATTTCCTTTTGGCAGAGGCATCCTTGCCAGCAAGATACTAGGAGTACACATTTCTACCAGGAAAGCAAAATACAGACTGGAAGCCAAAACTCAAGGAATTCTGGCCAAAGATGTAAAGAGCCAAATTCTCTCAGAAATGGTTTCCCAGAAGTAATTTGTGCTGACTATGCTTCAGTTCAAACAAACTCTTTTAAGAGCAAAATAGCAGTACGTGATATATCTAACCATTGTAGATAGCTAGCTTGAAGTAGGAGTATATATATATATATATATATATATATATATATATATATATATATATATATATTACTGTTGGCTAAAATAATCTAGATTATTGCTTCAGCAATCCCGTTCATTTTGAAAAGTAGCAACTCATTTTCTGCAGCTATGTAGTAGTAAGTGCACATCGTTTTAGAATTGTAGTGTCTTTCTAATTACTGAACAGCTCTTGTCTGGTGTGGACTTTGGTTGAAGCTAGTGTGTTGAAGGTTTCTTTTTAAAACTGAGTGCCATAGTATAGTGACACTAATATCTATATTCATATTTATAATTATCCAGATATATAATAAATGTTTATTAAATGCAAGCTACGTCTCTCACAGAATGAAAAGAAATATAAGCCATTGTCCTTGCCTTTAAGAAGTTTGCAATATGGATAGCTAGATAATATGTGTTACTTATTGAAATATGAATTCATAATAGAATAAAACATTTATCATTATTTAAGAATGATACAACAAAAATACCATGAGAGCGAAAGGGAGAGAAAGGAGTTCCTTCAGGCTGGGATGACTATAAAAATCTATATGGAAGTAAACTCTGACTTGCACTTGAAGAATGGGTAGACTTTGAACAGGAAAGAAGAGAGAAAAGTATTCTTGGTGAATGAAGAATGTGAACAATGTGAACAAGGCCATGGAGTCAAAGTCATTTTAGGAAGAAAGTGAGTAAATTGACTTTTTTAGGGAGGTATAAAATTGTAGATTAGACCAGAAGAATCTGGGTTGAGATTATAGAAAAGTGTGAATGCCAGGTAAGCACTAAGGACTTACCTTTTAAGTGTGAGGACCCATTTAGGGAAGATTTTGAGAAAAGAAAACATATGATCCAAGTTGAGTTTTACTGAAGTTAATTTGTCAGCTATGTACTGTTTGAAAAGGAAGATAGAGACAGTAATATGAGGATGTTTAGAAGACCAAGAAAGCAGTTGAAATGTGAGGTAGAATAGAGGATATATGTAGTATTTCCGTTCAGCATCCCCTCTTTTCTGATTCAGTGATTCAGGTGGAGATGACACCATTTGCCCTCAAAAGCCATAGGTAGGCCGGGTGCGGTGGCTCACGTCTGTAATCCCAGCACTTTGGGAAGCCAAGGCGGGCAGATCACAAGTCAGGAGATCGAGACCATCCTGGCTAACATGGTGAAACCCTGTCTCTACTAAAAATACAAAAAAATTAGCCGGTGTGGTGGCAGGCACCAGTAGTCCCAGCTACTTGGGAGTCTGAGGCAGGAGAATGGTGTTAACATGGGAGGCAGAGCTTGCAGTGAGCCGAGACCACGCCACTGCACTCAAGACTGGGGGACAGAGCGAGACTCCATCTCAAAAAAAAAAAAAAAAAAAGCCATAGGTAGAGCACATGACCCAAGTCTGGTTAACTAAGGGAGTCCATTTCTCTGGTCATAATTATTGGTTCAGAGATGGGCACATGATCTAAACTAAGACAGAGTTATCTCTAGAACTTTTCCTTCTAGACCTATGGAGAAAGATGTCCTCTTCCCAGTGATCTTATCAGTGGTCATCTATTCTGTTACCTTGTGTGGTGGCCAGCCTCCATGATATTCCTCAATGGTTCCTCCTAGTATTCATGCCCTTGCATAATCTTCCTCCATATTATATCAGAGTTTGTCTGTGTGATGAATAAATGTACAGCAGAAGTGATGGTATGCTGTAAACGAAACTGGGTAGGAATGGATGCTACGGAGTCCAAATTGGAATTAGCAACACTTGATAACTGGATTTTTAAATGCAAGGGAACACAAAGTTTTTGAGTTCGATAAAATGGCTATGTCATTAACAGATGTGACAAAGTCTGGAAGGGGAATTTTTTGCTTTGTTGTTGCGAAAGATGGGTAGGGGAGATGAATTTATTTTCGGGTTGAGACCCTTGATAACAATATTAAGAACAATGGCTGGTATTTACAAAAATGAATAAACTACCCCATAAAATAGTGAGTTATCTGTCCTCTGTCACTGTATATATTCAGGATGTTGGAAATTGGACGTCTTTTAGTAATACAACATATAAAGTCATTTCCAGTTAAGAGATTTGGTTACTCTGTTTCTACTAGTTGTCTCTCTCTCTCTCTCTCTCTCTCTCTCTCACACACACACACACACACACACACGAAGAAATTCTAAAAGTAAATGGAGACAATAGCCACAATCTTCCCTACCATAGACCTCTTAATAGTTTTCTCCCTGTTTCTCATTTGTTGTTTCATGTGAATTCTAATCTCTACTGGAGCATGCCCAAGGTATTAAGCCATTTTTGCCTTGCTGTAAAGTAACACATGAGACTGAGTAATTTATAAAAAAAGAGGATTAAGTGGCTCATGGTTCTTCAGGTTTTACAGGAAGCATGGTGCTGGCATTTGCTCAGCTTCTAGAGATCTGCTCCCATGTTCCAAACACCTCCCACAAGGTCCTACTTCCAACATTGGAGATTATATTTCAGCATGAGATTTGGGCAGGGACAAATATCCAAACTATATTCCCAGCATGGTGGGCAGGCTGGAACTAGGATTGGAGGCTTATGGTCACACTCAACTTTCAACTTTGCAAATTATTTCAGTTTCATTCTTACTCGATTCTATGCTGGGTAAAATTGGCCATCTCACAAAATGCTCAGAAAAACAAAAGGTGCTCTGGCAATGACAAACCCATGTGTCCTCCTTCCACTAGAAATGATTTTATGCCCTATAAATATCTTTCTCTATATTATCCAATATCCTTTAATTCCCTTTTTCCTCAATTTTCTTTCCTTTTTAAAAATTTATAATCTATTTCTTATTTCTGAAAAAAAACTTTTTCTTTAACATAATCGTGAAGCAAACAAGATACATCATTTGAAAAAACAAAACAGAAATGTAGAACAAGGAAGTTAGGCTAGATAAACACTAAGATTTCCTTTAGCTCATAAACTTAAATAATAAATCTTAGGCATTTTGTATTCAGCATCAATGAACTCCTTGAATAATAATGGAAAATATTTTTAATGATAAAATTATACAAACTATGTTTTTTGATGCTTTTTCATCCAATTGTAAAATTCTAAGAACATTTAAAAGGTATTTATGGGCTTGAAAAAACTGACATTCTTCTCTATTAAGTATCTTATTCATAAGAGGCCAAATCTTGATATTCAATAGAGTTTGTGCAACACAGCAAACAAGGAAGTGGAACAATGCAAAGAAAACAAATTCATCACTCCCCTGCCTCCCTTGCCCCACACCTTGGAGTCACTGAATACTTTTTCTTTGAAGTCTAGAAAAATCTCTTCTTGCATGATTTGATTGGTGCCTTCCCTAGATATTTTGCATTTACTTTCCCTGCATTCAGTTGAATATTTTCATGAAAAATAGAGCCTTGTTCAAAAACATTTGTTTTTGCAACTGTGAAAGATCTAGCAAAAGCACTGGTAATTTTAGTGATTTTCTAAAATCACACAGCAGAGTTTTTGTCATTGGAAATACACTACTGGAAATACAAAGTTTTCTTAAGTCATGTAGGAACATCAAAAGGACCAAGCTGATGCAATATTCACATAACAATTGTTTGATGAAAGCAAGGGAATTTCCAGTCAACCATTTCTAACCACACTTCACCTGGCTAACATTAGGGCTATTTGACTTTTTAATTCTATTTGCATTAAGAAAGGCAAGCCAAGAGAGAATCAAGAGTCAATTTGTTTCATAACTTTCCTTGCATGATGCTGTTCTTTTTCTCTGTTTCTCACTCTAGCTTCCCTCTTGTTGACAGTTCATCTCACATAGGCTGTTTATAATGGAGAAGAAATTATCTTTCAGGATAAAGGCAGAATGCCAAAGTGGGTGGCAAACTTTTGGCAGTATTCTGGGTTTTCTTAAACACAATGCACATTCTTTTTCCTTTATCCCCTTAGAAGCGAAAAATGAAACTCACCAACTTTTATGGAACAAATTTAGTTCAGCCTTCAGCTGACCTAGTGTTCTTTTTTTCTGTAGTTACCTCATGTAGAAGATTCTTGAGCATTCTTGTGTAAGATTATTAAAAAATATATTTTGCTCCTTTTTTTTTGGTATGACTTTGCAGTATACCAGTGTAACTTAACAATAAAATTCCTCTTTTCATGTCACAAGTTTGGTTGCCCTAGTTTAAAATTATATGTTGAATTATGAAAATCAAGCATTTATTTACCAAGGAGAAAAGAGAATTCTACTTTGGAATTGTTTATATAGGCTTAGTGTAATTTCCCACTCATATTTTTTTCCTAACAAGTGGTCTGGAAAGCCATTCCTCCTCTACTAGTGATATTATACAAATGTAAAGAAAATCTGAAATCATTTTTATTTTCACTGACTTCTCATGAATGAATCCCAATTTCTGTATTATTTGCTGAAAAGAATGAAAAGATTGATTTTGTCAAAATGCACTACTGTGAGGAAAGAAACGTGGTTTGCGATTGAATAATAGAGTAAAATACTGGCCTATATTAAAATAGTTGGCCTTAAAGAAAATTCGGAGAGACTAGATTTGGATTGTACATATAAAAACAATATGTTATTTCTCTAGCCTATGTAATATAGATTTAGAAAACTAGTTAAGTATAGAAAGCTTAGGCAATAATGGGCTATTTTGTAGTTGCATTTCAAGTTTTTGAAACAATTTTCATTAAGTTTCACATTAGATTTGCTTTTTGTTAAGTTAAAAAATAAATCTCTAAAAGGAAGAAATGGTGGCTGTTCACTCAAAAGCATATCTCACTATCTTGACTAGTCCATGGGATTTTAATAGTTATTCTGGAAATACTTTTGAAGAGGAACTATCAATGAAGTTTTGCTTAATTGTTAGGGCTGGGTATCTAAAAACTGAAGTGAAACCCAGAGATGGGTCAGGAAGTCGTAGTGGTGACTAACAGAGGTGACTAATGGAGGTGTCAGATTGTTCATGGCCTTCTGTGCCACCAGAAAGAATTTTGCCATAAAGTATTTATGAGCAGTCATTGAACAATGCCTGGATGTGGGTTTTTAAGTGTCTCTTTTCCTAGCACTGTTACATACTCTATTCTTTTGGTAACCCGAAGCAGTCGCAGAACTTACTGAGCTGGTGAGCTCATTAGGCCAGGACTGAAGATTCTGCCAGGCGTGGGGAGATTTGCTTTGTTTTGCACCTTTGGACTCTTCTCCAAGCCTTCCAATGACACAGATGTACATACTTTATCACAAACAGGAGAAAACACGAGAGTATAGAAGGATTGGTGCTGAGCTGTCAGCATGACATGGTGGCACCAGTACTGGCTACAAAGTCAGGAGGCCTGCCTCCCAGCCCTTGTTCTGCCACCCACAAGCTCATGACTCTGGAAAAGTCTCCGTATGCTGGCTTCATTGTCAGTTATCAGGGAGACTTCATAGGGGTTTATAATTTGAAATGATGCTAGTTAGCATTTACAGATATTATATTGGATTACAGATATTAGATTATAGATTATATTACAGATATTGGATTATAGATGTGTAGACATTAGAATGTCTTCGTATAAATGCTGCTTCTTATGAGAGACGGATGCTAGCTGGATTTTAGAGAAGCAGTTGGGTGATGATACATTGGCACCAGCCCATTTATAGCTGGGACCAGAATTATAATTGCCTCTTTCCCTTCAGAACATGAAGCTTTGTGAGAAAAATGATAATTTTAGTACACTTAGCTCACTATTGATGACATCCCTTCTAGCAATACCATCTACTGCCCAGCTTTTTCTAGAGCCAAATCTTAGCAATGTGCATAATCACCTACTTTGTCTCCTCAATTATTTGGAATCAGATTCTTCTTTCCAAAGAAAAAAGTCTGTTTCTTCCTTATGGAAGTTTTTGGGATTTTTCTCTTTATCCTTGGTGGCCTGAAGTTCCATCAAGCTTGCAAAGGCGTGCATTCCTCCCCTCCCTCCTCAGCCCCTTCATCTTACAGAGGTTTTGCTCTGAAGTCTAGTGTCTTTCTCTAGCTCCAAGAAATTTCCCTCCATTATTTATTTGTTTTCTTATTTTATTGCTTCTATTGCATCCTTCTGAAACTTACACAATGGGTATTTGAGATCATTTGGGTCTCTTTTCATGCCCCTTAACTCTTCTTTAAAGTTTTCCATTTTATGAATTTTTTCTTTTGAACTGTGTTCTGGGAGAATCCCTCAGTTTAGACGTTTAGTTCTGTAAATTAATCTTCAGCTATATCTATTTTGGAAATTAGTTTCCCTATTAATATGTAAAGTTTTCTCCTTTTTGGATCCTGGGTGTAAATAGTTAATCACACCATCTTAATTCATAGCACAGTTTTATAATTTGCCCATGTGTCTTGTTTCATTCATTCATTCATTTTTAATTTGTATAAATTTAGGGAATACAAGTTCGTTTTCTTAAATGGTTATATTACATAAAGGTAAAGTTTGGGCTTTTAGTGTAACCACTACCCAAATAACGTACATTGTACCTACTGAGTAATTTCTCATCCTTTACTCCCCTCCTACCCCTCTGAATCTTTTGAGGCCTTAGTCATGAATTCTTTGTCTAGGCCAATGTCCAGAAGAGTTTTTCCTAGGTGTTCTTCTAGGATTTTTTTAGTTTTGGGTCTTAAATTTAAGTCTTTAATCTATCTTGGGTTAATTTTTGTATATGGTGAGAGATAGGGGACCAGTTTCATTCTTCTACATTTGTCAACTTGGTTAAAGATGAGTTGGCTGGAGGTACATGGCTTTACTTCTGAGTTCTCTATTTTGTTCTGTTTATCTATGTGTCCATTTTTATGCCAGTACCATGATATTTTGATTACTATATTTTTGTAGCATAATTTTTTTCTATTTCTTTTTTGTTCTTTTTTTGACTGACAGTTTACCCTGATAGAAAGCCTTGTAATATAATTTTAAGTCGGGTAATGTTGATGGCAGCAGCCGCCTGCCTGGAGTGGTGGCTGCGAAGACACCAGCTGCAGGTGGGGAGGCGCTGCCTTGGCTTTGAGCTTCATGGAGCTGGTGAGAGCTGGGAACAGGCAGAAGCCTCATGCCCTTCCGAATTGGCAGTGCAGAAGCCTCAAGCTTCCCAGGTACAGCTGCAGCCACCCAAGCCACAGCTGTGGACCTGGGCATACCTGTGTTCTTGGGGGCCCAGGAAGCCCCTCTGCCCCCTCAGGCTTGGAGGTGTCTGCTCCCACAGCCTGGCTTCTCCCCACTCCTGGTGCCTGCTCTGATCTTGAAGCAAAATTGAGGCTGAGCCTGGGTGCTGTCACAATCTGGGTGGGTGCACATGCTTGGAGCAGTGCTGACACACCAGACCCCTGCTGCCTTGGCGCCCTTCAGACTTTGGGTATCAACAAGCACGGGAGAGGGTGAGGGGGGTTGCTGAAGGCAGCTCGGCACTGGCCTGCAGTTGCCTCTTGGCACAAACAGCCTGAGTGCTATGGATGACAGCAGGAGGCAGGGCAGAAAGAGGCAGGTCCCTAGTGAAGCCCCACCTTTGAGCCATGGATGGCCTGAATCCAGAGGCCTGGCTGAAGAGCCAGGATGGGAACTTATGGTGCTTTCTCTGGGCTCCCCATGGCCACCCATGAACCAACCACCACCCCTTCCTCCCCTCTGAAGCCCATAAAACCCCTGGGCTCAGCCAGATCAAGGAGATGATCAGATGACTGCCTGTGGAGAAGAGCTACCCACTCCAGGGTCTCCTCTGTCACTCAATAAAGCTCCTCTTCACCTTGCTCACCTCCACTTGTTTGCGTACATCATTCTTCCTGGATGCAAGACAAGAACTCAGGACTTGCCAAATGGGAGGGCTAAAAGAGCTGTAACAAAAACAGGGATGAAATATGCCCCTTGCTCACCACGTTGCAGGCAACAAGAAAGAAAGAAGAGAGAAGGAGAGACAGCTGTGGCCCTTTGGGGATCCCAGACCTAGGAGCTCCCCAAACCAGGGCTGTGCCACCCTCTCTGAGGCTCTGCAGATTCCTGGCATCTCCAAGCTTCTGGGTGCTACCGCATTCCCTGGTGCCAGCTGTGGAAGCTGCTTCAGGTATGCCTGGTCCAGATGCAGCCTCATAGGGAGCTGGCACCCATGCTGGCACCTGGAGCTGCCAACCTTACCACAGCCGGTGTGCCTGGCTGTGCCCAGTGGCTGAACCCCACTCTCACTCACATACCCCTTGCTACTCTGTGCCTGGCTCGTCCTTGGTAGGCATGAGATTTGGGCCAGTGGTGTGAGCCAAGCACAGCCTGCCAGGCCAGGTGGGTGGAATGAGCCCAGTGGGCCTGAGTAAAAACCTGGGGAAATGTGCCACCAGCCACAGAGGTTTTCCGGCTGGCAAAGCAACACCCCAAGGATCTCATGACAGTGTGATGCCTCTAGCTTTGTTCTTTTGGCTTAGGATTGCTCATTTGTTTATTTTACTTATTTATTTATTTTTGAGATGGAGTTTCACTCTTTTTGCCCAGGCTGGAGTGCAATGGCACGATCTTGGCTCACCGCAACCTCTGCCTCCCGAGTTCAAGCGATTCTCCTGCCTCAGCCTCCTGAGTAGCTGGGATTACAGGCATGCACCACCATGCCCAGCTAATTTTGTATTTTTAGTAGAGATGGGGTTTCTCCATGTTGGTCAGGCTGGTCTCGAACTTCCTACTTTGGGTGATCTGCCTGCCTTGGCCTCTCAAAGTGCTGGGACTACAGGCGTGAGCCACCATGCCCAGCTTATTTGTTTATTTTTAAAACTTTCATCCTTGACGCGTGTTCCCATTCTCCCCACCATTGTTTCTATTTAAGATATTTCATATATGTTCTTAAATATGCATGTCTTTTTGTATGCCAAAAGGTATTTTGTTGTTTTCCATGAGTGTTTTTCTTTTTTTAACTTAATAAACAGTGTTTTACTATGCAGAATAGTTTTTTATAGTTTAAAAAATATTTTGTAACTAAACTGGGTGTGGTGATGCTGGTCTGTAGTCCCAGCTGCTTGGGAGCCAGAGGCAGGAGGATCACTAGAGCCCAGGAGTTAGAGTCTAGCCTGAGCAACATAGTGAGATCTCATCCCTAAGAAAAAAAAAATAGTAATAATAGTCTTAATTCCAAGAATCCCAATTGTTTCTGTTTTTTTCATAGCTGTCATATTTTTGCTAATTAAAGTAATATATTCTCGAATACCTCCAAATAAATTATACTTAAAAAGTCTTATTCTGTTGCTGCCATTAATTTTCTTCAAGTTTTAGTTATTCAGTTATTTGAATCAGATGATCCTTTCTAATGATGTTAATTTTCCCCAAGTATTTGGTGATAATTTGATTGTCTGTTAATTCGGGTTCCACTTTTGGTGATAAAGAGGGAGCAGTAGAATGTGTGGCCCGGAGGTCTACTGTATTAGTTTCCTAGGGTTGCCCTAACAAACCACAAACTAAGTGGCTTAATAGAAATTTATTTTTTCACAGTACTGGAGGCTAAAAGTCCAAAATCTAAGTACTGTCAGGCCATGCAACCTCCAAAGCCTCTAGGAGATTATTTTCTTCTTCGAGCTTCTCTGCCTCTGTCTTTTTATTATTATTATTAAGAGACAGGGTGTTGCTCTGTCACCCAGGCTGCAGTGCACTATAGCTCACTGCAGCCTCAAACTCCTGGGCTCAAGTGATCCTCCTGCCTCAGCTTCCCAAGTAGCTAGGACTACAAGTACATGCCATTATGCCTGGCTAATTTTTTATTTTTTTTGTAGATACAGGGATTTGCTATGTTGCTCAGTCTGGTCTTGAGCTCCTGGCCTCAAGCAATTCTCTTACCTAGGCCTCCCAAATTGTTGAGATTACTGATGTGAATCATCATGCCTGGCCCTCTGTCTCTCCTTTCACATGATTGTCTTCTCTCTGTGTCTGTGTGTCTTCATGTCTTCATATGGCATTCTCCTCTCTGTGTCTCTCTCTTCTTCTTCTTCTTTTTTTTTTGAGATGGAGTCTTGCTCTGTCACCCAGGATGGAGTGCAGTGGCACGATCTCGGCTCACTGCAACCTCCACCTCCCGGGTTCAAGCAATTCTCCTGTCTCAGCCTCCTGAGTAGCTGGGACTATAGGTGCCTGCCACCACACCTAGCTAATTTTTGTGTTTTTAGTAGGGACGGGGTTTCACCATATTGGTCAGGCTGGTCCCAAACTCCTGACCTCAAGTGATCTGCCCGCCTCGGAATCCCAAAGTGCTGGGATTACAGGCGTGAGCCACTGTGCCCGGCCATCTCTCTCTTCTTACAAGGGCACAAGTCATATTGGATTGAGAGACCACCATACTCCATTGTAACCTCATTTTGACTAATTACATCTGCAATAACCTATTTCCAAATAAGGTCACATTCTGAGGTACCAGGGATTAGGACTTTAACATATCTTTTTGGGGGGGCATAATTTAATCCATAACTATGGGGAAGTAGTTTGTTTACTGGGTAAACATGGGCTTCCTGTCCTTACCTTGTACTTTTTCCTGAAGCTATTCTGGGAGTCTCCTATTTCAGTACTCTTACTTTAGAGACCTGTACATGACACTTTTTCTTGGTGGCAAATGCTCTAGTCAGACTTCCCTTTTCTTCCTGTGCCTCTGCTGTCACTGTGGCAGTCTTGCTGTACTCTGCTTCTCAGACTCCAATACTGAAGCCATGAGCCTTTCCCAAAGCCTTTTAGCTTTGTTTATAAATGAGATCTGTAGCCAGCTGTGCAAGTCTTTGGGTAGAAGGGTCACTGGCCAGATCTTCTGATGGTAGTCCTTTAATGATTCACCCAATGTTTTCTCGGTGGTTGATTTAGCTTGCTTACTTGGAAAATAATACTCATCTGCGGTTTTCTTAGAAACTATTGCTGCTTTTTGCAATAGCCTCTATTTGAATCTTGTGGTGCAGTCTCTATACTTGTTTCTTTTAATCTGATCTCACTGTTGTCTCCTCTCTCCGAGATGTTTTTTATGTCCTGGAAATTCCTCAAATAATCTGGTCCACTGATGCTACCCTTTTCTGTTTTTCAGTATGCTATGGTGCCTTCTTTAGCCATAGCTTTTCTTTAATTTCAGTGGGATTTCGGTGAAAAAGAAGATGAATCGTATGTGTTTACTTTGCCGTAATTACATAGCATAAGGCGTTGATCTAAACTAGAGGTAATCAAAATTGTTTTATAACGGGCTGGATAGTAAATATTATAGGCTTTGTGGGCTATAATGTCTGTGTTGCAAGTACTCAGTACTGCTGTTGTAGTGCAAAAGCAGCCATAGATAACACGTAAATGAATGCAAGTGGCTGTGTTCCAATAAAATTTTATTATAAAATAGGTAGTAGGCTAGGTTTGGCCTATCCCTGAAACCAGTGGTTCTCAAACTTACCATGCATCCAGAATCTTTGGAAGGTCTTGATAAAAAATAGATCACTCTGCTTATCTCCAGTTTCTAACTTAGTAGGTCTGGGCTGGGGGGTCCCAGGATTTGCATTTCTAGTAAGCTCCTAGATGATGGTGGTACTCCTGGTCTGTGGAGCGTACTTTGAGAATCACTTATCTAAGTCATTTTTGTTTTCTAAATACTACTATCTCAACCATTTATTGATAACACAACCATGTTCCTCATTCATTCATTCATCTAACAATTATTTATTGAGCTTCTACGATGTGCCAGGCTCTAAGTCATGAGAATACTGTCACAAATAAGATAAAATCTCTGTTCTTTTGAGTAGGAGAACCAGACAACCAGGAAACACAAGTACACCTATAAAAGACATAATATGCAGAGTAATGAAAACTATAAAGCCCAGGAAAAGGATACAGGAAAGGAGCTATTTTACGTAGAGTAGTCAGAGAAAGGCACTCTGAAGAGGTGACATCTCAACATAGATGTGAATGATGAAAAAAAACTAATCATGTAAAAACTGAGGCATAGGTAGAACATTCTAGACAGAGGATATAGAGAATACGAAGGGCCTAAGGTAGGAATGAGCTTATTTTTGAAGACACGCAAGAATACCAGTGGAATGTGAGTGGCTTGAGTGAGGTAAAGAGTGGCAGGAGATGAGTTCAGAAAGCGAGCAGGGTCCAGATGTTTTGGGGATTTGTAGACCATGGTAAAGAGCCTGGGTTTTATTTTAAAATTTATGTGAAAACATTGGAGAGTTTTGTGCATAGGAGTGACCGGATAGCATTTACATTTTTGAAGAATTACACTGGTTGCTGGGTGGAAAATATTCTGCTAGTGGTAGCAGGGGATGAGGGCAAGAGTGGGAACAGGAAGACCATTTTGGAAGTTTGTTGCAAGAATCCTAGGAGAGAGATTGCTGTGACTTGGACCTCGATGAGTTTAGTGAGGTTGCAGTTGGATGCAAAACATATTTTGGTGGTCAAGCCCGTAGAATTTGCTGGTAAATGGGATATGGGTATGAAGTAAAAGGAAGTACCAAAGATAACTCCTGAGTGTCTGTCTTGAGCAACTGGGCGAGAATGGGAAAGAAATTAAGATTTTGCCTTTAGAATCTTATGTTTGAGATGCTTCTTAGATATTCAAGAGAAGTTGTCAAAAAGGCAGATGTAATAGGCTGCAGCTCAGGTGAAAGCCTAGGGATATAAATTTGGGACTCATCAACATACTTTTGATGTTTTTTGTTAGGTTGGTGCAAAAGTAATTGAGATTTTTGCCATTGAAAGTAATGGGGAAAAAAGCAATTACTTTTACACCAACCTAATATTTAAGGCCATGAGATTAAAGGAGATGATTACTTCTATTGTGGTTATAAAAAGAGAAGAAAAGGACATCAAAGAGTCAATCTTGCTAACATTGAGATGATAGGAAAGGGAAGAGGAGCCAGCAAATGACACAGAAAAGTCACTCAGGGAGTAGGTTTTCCCAGAAGCCAAGAAAATAAAATGTTTCAAGAAAGAGAGGAATAAACTTGTCAAATATTACTGGGTGAGCAAGTAAAGTGAGGACTGAGATTTTATCACTTGGTCATCTTGACAAGAGAGGTGTAGTGCAACAGTGAGAGATAAAATTGTACAGAATAGAAGAGAGAAAATGGAAGAGGGGGACATAGAGATAACAAATGTAATCAACTCTCTCTAGTGATTTCTGCTGCTGGTCATTCCTGGGTTATATGTACCAAACCTGGGATCAACTAGAAAAGCAAGACCAATTATAAAAACTCTGTGCCTGAAGGTGTTGAGTAGCTAACAAAATGGTGATGGGTAATAAGTCTTGGAGGAAGAAAGAACCCAAGAGAGGTAAACCCAGCACTGAGGTTTACTTTTCCATTAGGGGATTCTAGAAGAGGTAACAGAGAGGTTACAAGTCTTGAACAGTACTTTTAGTAGCCTCAAGAGACTAATGGAACAAAATCTGTAATCCAGAGTATGCCAAGGAGGAGAGCCCTTGGAGCCACTCTCCATCAAGCTCTGGGTCGGAATCTCAGGGAACTTACTCTTAGGAATAAATGTGAACCAGAAGTAGTTCAAGTTTGGCAGGGGCTTAAACCCAATTTTAAGTAAACTCAATTCTTAAAATTGGATTAAGAGATTCCCACATTGTTAGAGCCCCTAACTGGCTGTCTGAAGAAAACACAAATTCTCTCTGGAGTAACATAATGTCATCATAGCTTCAAATTATTTGTATGATTTTAAAAAACTATAAGGTCCAGCACTCAGTAAAAATAACCAGTTCATGTTAGGACATAAAATGAATTAATGAAAAATAAGGAGAAAAAAACCTGACAATAGAAACAGACTCATATGAACTTCAGATGATAATAGATTTACCTTTAAGATTCTTATTCTGCTGAAGGAGATTAAGGACAAGAGTAGGAAATTTGACAGAAAATTGGAAGCTATGAAAACAAATTAAAATTATAAAACTGAGTTTACCTCAGAACTAAAACTAAAAATTCAGTGGATAGATTTAATAACCAATTAGACACAATTGAAGAGAGAATTAAGAAATAGGTAGGATTACCCAGGAGGAAGTATAGAAAAAAAAGAAAATAAAAAGACAGAGTTATAAAATAGGAGATATAATGAGAACATCTAGCATGGGTAATTGAAATCCTGAAAAAGGAGAGAGAAAAATGGGACATCAGCAATATTTGAAAAGATAATGGCTGAGAATTTTCCAAATCTGATAATCGTATTAAACTCCAGGTTCAAGAATGCCTACAAGCCCTAACTAAGATAACTAATAGGAAAACCAAAGTTAACCTCACTATAGCAAAAGTACTGAAAACTAACGCAAAAAAAAAAAAAATTATAAAGTAGCCATAGGGATCTCTTGAAGCAATGGTTAGAATGAGATTTTTTGTCTTTCATCAGAAACAATGAAACTTTCTACAAAGTTCTGAAAGAAAATAACTGCCCTCCTAGATTTCTAAGCATCTAAAATGTATTCTTTAATAATGAAGATAAAATAAAGATATTTTAAGAACAAAAACTTGTGAAAAAAATTTTTTTTTCCAGCAGGCATGCATTACACACTAAAAGGAACACTAAAGATTTTTTTTTTAACCGAAAGGGTAACTGTGTATAAATCTCAATAAATATAAAACCATAATTATAATTTCTATTGAGTTTAAATATATATAGAATTAAAACACATGACAACAATAGCATATATGTCAAAAGGGGGTTAACTGAAGTTAAAGGGTAGACGTTCCTGACATTGAACAAGAAGAGGTAAAAGTGCCAATTAATATTAGACTGCTATGTCAATGATGATATTATAATCTCTAGAGTAACTTCTAAAAATAGTAAGATAAAGTATGCTTGCTTGAGAAGGGAAAACTGAAATAATAAATAATCTCAATCAATCTGAAATGAGGTCATATAAGAGAGAAAGAAAAAAAACATAGAACTAATGAGGAAATGGGAAGCAAATAGTAAGGTGGTATAATGAAGTCCAAATATATCAATTATGACATTAAATATGTAGGCCTATAGGTTGCAATTAAAAGCAAAGATTGCCTGACTGAATTTTTTTTTAAAAAACTAAACTATATACGGTTCTCAAAAGACATCTAAAAACATAGGAAAATAGAAAGGTTGTAAATAATAGGATGAGAAAACATATGTCATGCAAATACTAACCAAAAGAAAGCTGAATAGGTAAATTAATATCAAAGTGGCAAGTATCTATAGTAATTTTGTTTTAAAGGTTAGCAGAGAAATGGGTAGAAACTACAGGGGGACGTTGGTCCAAATTTTTATTTATTTATTTATTTAATCTAATGCTTGAGTATTAATGGGAATAATCCAGCAGAAAGGGGTAAATTGATGACACAAGAGAAATGAGTGCAATTTAAGACCAAAACTCTTTGAGTTAGACATAGACTGGGAGAGGGATAATTTTTCTGTTGTAATATGCAGAAGATATGGGTACCAGACGCATGTACATCAATCAAGAGATTTTGTTGGTGAGAAGATGAACTCATTCTCTTCCAATTGCATCTATTTCCTAAGGAAAATCTACCAACTGGGTATAAGTGGAGACACTATTGTTGATTTTAGTGGAAGGAAGATGTGTAATAGCAGTTTTAATAGGAGAGAAAACAGAGTTCTTATAGAAATACATGAAGATAAGCCAGTACTGAAAGTACTCCCGCCACCAAGCTTGAGCCTCCCTCGAGTTCAGACTGCTCTGCTGGCAGCGAGAATTTCAAGCCAGTGGATCTTAGCTTGCTGGGATCTGTGGGGTGGGACCCACCAAGCCAGACCACTTGGGCTCCCTGGCTTCAGCCTCCTTTCCACAGGGGTGAACGGTTCTGTGTCATGGGTGTTCCAGGTGCCACTGGGGTATGAAACAAATCTCCTGTGGCTCGCTTGGTGTCTGCCCAAACGGCTGCCCAGTTTTGTGCTGGAAACTCAGGGCCCTGGTGGCATAGGCACCGGAGGGAATCTCCTGGTCTGAGGGTTGTGAAGAACGTGGGAAAAGCGTAGTATCTGGGCTGGTGTGCACAGTACAATCCCTAATGGCTTCCCTTGGCTAGGAGACGGAGTTCCCTGACCTTAGTGCTTCCCTGGTGAGGTGATGTCCCACCCTGCTTTGGCTCGCCCTCCTTGGGCTTCACCCACTGTCTAACCGGTCCCAATGGGATGAACCGGGTACCTCAGTTGGAAATGCAGAAATCACCTACCTCCTGCGTGGATCTTGCTGGGAGCTGTGCACCAGAGCTGTTCCTAGTCGGCCATCTTGCCAGCAGTCTCAGATTCCACACTTCATAGGCCATAATTTCTTATAGGCTTCTTTAGACATGTAGTCTATGATCTGAAAAATCACATCAGAATCAGATATTTCTTTTTTGTTGCCATAAAACATTAAATGTAACTCATTAAAATAGTAAATATATCATTTTAACTTTTATTTTAAACCAAAGATAATAAAATCTCTATTGAGCAAATCTTTAAAGAAAATAAACCCCAGGTGGACTCATTTTGTTCAGGAAGGAGAGCTCTGCTTGGAGAAGGAAGGCACTGGGCTCACAGCCAGCTGTTTTCTAGGCGCTGTTCCTTCTACTCCAGGAGGACCCTGTGCGTGTTATAGCATAGTGACCCTCATATCTACGTTCATATCTATAATTATCCAGATATAAGTGTGTTGACCATATCAAAAGTTTTATTTAAAAATTACCCTTTCAAAGGAGCAGGAAAAATACCTTTTCCTTTCCGCTTCCCAAACTATATGTCTTTCATAATTATATTTGTGTACCCTGAAACTAAAAAAACACACTGCATTCCTTAACAACTGAGATGATTGTAAACAGCAATACAATGTACAGAGCACACACTGTTTTTGTTTTGGTTAAAATATCTGCTCCTTCTGTGGAATTTTTCTATCCTGTTTAATGGTATCATTCTTAAGTTATCCAAGCTAAAAGAATCCTAGAAGCTCTGCCCTAAATGCCTTCCTCCCCCTTGTTCCTCATCTTCTATTGTTCATGAATGATGAGAACTTCTATCTTCCTATCATATTTCATTAGCTCTCTTCTTTTATCTTCTTCTCTGTAATGACCTTCATTTGGGAATTTATTGTCTCTGCCCTGGGATATTGCAGTTGTCTCCTTAAATATTTTTGTTGTTTTCTAACTTGTCTTCACCCTTTGCCCCTCACCATCAAATTAATCTCCTGGATAGTCTACAGATAGTTCTTTCTAGAATGCAAATCTGATCATGTTTAGCGCCTAAAATAATAATGTGTAGGAGCTCCCGAATAATGTTTAGCTCCTATTTAAAGTTTTTAATGGCTTCCCTACTCCCTAAAGGGCAAAACCCAAACTTAGTTTCATGTCATACAATGACCTTGACCTATCTATCCTTTGTCTATATGTAATCTGGTATTTCTTTCACATATTCTGTTGCAGCCACTCTAAGCTAGGTCTTCCAACACATCACATTACACCCTGCCCTCCCATTCTGAGGAACTTTTACATACACAATACCCAGCTCAAACAACAGTTTATTTTTTTCTGGCTCAACCTTATACTTTCCTGGCTTTGCTCTTGTAAAGGGAACCGGTCATTTCTTCCTAAGTGATACCAGTACATTTAGAATCCATTGGTGCACTAAAATTTGTCTTCCCCATGACTGCGAGTAGAGACTAGATCATTTCTATCTTGATATATCCTCTGTTTAGCACTGACCTGGCATATGGAATATGCTCTATAGATGTTGGCGAGGTGAGTAAAATTCAAGCTTATACCAGAACATTATAATTGTTCTTTTAAAGACATCTTTTATTGTTTTATTTGGCTCATAACAATATTACCCAACCATTGTAAAAACTTCAGAAAAGCTACAAAGTGTGAATGCTTTAGTTCTTACCAATCTATGAGTAAAAATGGAATCTAGATGTTTTGTGCCTTGCTTTTAAGGCCCTTGTTGATTCCCTTTCTCTTATAACTAGGAATCCTCAAAAAGGTATATTCTGTGTTTCAGAATAGGCCTATTGTTGCTTGTTACCATGGCTAACAAGACAGGGCTCCCATAATCAAGCCAGAACTCGGCTATTGTCCCTGAAAGTTTCACTGAGGTGCCACTTCACCTGCAAACAATTCCAAGCTGCAGCCTCTATAATGTCTTGGTACTAGGAAGGTTGAAACTTGATTTCTCCTTCTCAGTACTGGAGGAGCTGGCACTTTGCCATGCAGGTGAGACTATGGTACTTGACTGCTGCATCTCAGAGCTGGTTGATTACGGAATGACATGTGTCATTAGTTAAGTGGTCCCATAGTATGTTGTTCCCTTGATGAATCTGGTTTGCAATTCTAGAGTCCTAGATTTCTTTTTCTTTTATGCTGAGTTTTTTCTCAAGGGCACTCTTGTCTGCCCTGGCTCCAGTTCAGAATTGCTGCTCTCAACTCCTTTCTTCACTGCCTGCGAATATATCTCTGTATGTCTGAACTCCAATAATGCAGAGTTCAAATTTGTGCCCAAGGAGGTTCCTTATCCCCCATGTAATAATGAATAATCATCCTTTGCAATAGAACAAAAAATAGAAAAACTGGACTCCACTTACTGAATAGCCTAATTGATTTTCCTAATTTGCACGATTAGCTCTATTGTCTTTAGTAATAAATGGCTCACCACTATGAAAGATAAAGTTTGTGATTACTTTTGCTAATTATGAAAAACTTCTGAAGCAAACAGTTGAGTTAGCAAGTCCTGACAGCTAATGTATAATTTGTTCTTTCAGGAAATGTTTTATGTTATACTTTTACCAATGCATTAAAGTAAGTTAAACTGAATTGTACATGACTCAGGTGGAAATTATTGAATTTACTTTTTTTCTCCTGGATAGCCTGAGTTTCATTTTGCCTGGCTGTGTATCTGATATTACTGTGCTGCTTTACTTGTATAGACATAGTCTGAGTGTTTTTGGAGATAGGTGTTCCATGAGTAAAACCTGGATACAGACAAATGAAAGTTCTTTAACAATCGTAAGTAAATGCTTATTACACTTTTGTTGTAGATTCAGATAAAATTATCTTTTCATAGCTAATGATACCTGTATAATGGGTAGCAACAACTGGTATTTCAAAGCCCTTGATTATTTATAATGCTACATAATCTGACAAATCAGATGTGATTTTTTGGTCATGCTTACTTTTATCATAAAGAAAGTGCTAGAGATTCATTTTAAAAAGTTTTTTTGCTTTGAATAAAATCTGCAAGGAAATACAAATATTTCAAACTCATCACATATATACAAAGAGAAACATCAAGATCCTTGAATAATCATTTTATTAACAAATACAAACTTGAAATGTTGGTGATAAAATATATCAATATTGAACAAAAATGTGTGTAAACAGTAATTCTACAACTGGGAACATATCTCAGTTTTGTTAATTTTGGTGACGTCTTCCCAACCATGTCTAATCTTCAGTATCTTCTTCCTCAAGCATGGCAGGAATAGTATGCTTTTAAATATCAGGACAACAATTGGAAGGAAAACAGCTATCATAAAAGTTGGAGGTGTATACCATACAAATTGTTTTATATCTATCCACTTATTCCAGGCAAAAATCAATGCGTGTATTGTGCCCAGTAGAAGGGAAACAATTCCTAGCTTGCTCTGCAAAAGAAAAACAAAATTGGTGAAGATTGGTTCAATAAGAGTTTATCCCATCCTACCTCATCTGGATATGCTCTGTTGCTTGGAAATCCTTTATCTATGATTGTTTTCCTATCACATTTCTCAACAATGTCCATTCACATCTTTCTACTCTTTTTGCCTATCCTCCTCACCTTACTTTTGGGTAATTTCTTGTCTCCAAGCTGTCTAAGTGAACAAAATTCACAGCCTTTCTTTGAAGGCAGGTGATCAAAAACTTTGTCTACTCTTTCTCCACCATTTTGTTCATCCCCTTATGATATTTATTTTTTGTGCTTTGTCTCTTGTGTATTTGTCTTAATTCTGCTTATCACAGGATACCTAAAATCAGGGACTGAGTCTTACTTATAGCAGGATCCCTGCAGAATCAACACAATGATTTGTACATTTTAGATTCTCAATTAAATATAGGTAGATTGAAGATTATAGCAAAAATCAATTTGACTTCAGTGATCTTTATCAGTTGTGAAGGCGACTAATGTGATTCACTCTGATTTTGATAAATGAATAATGAAGTGAATGAACTTGGCCTATGTTTTTAAAAAATCAAATATTCTGATAACATGGAAATAATATGAACAATTTTTTCAATGTCTGCACAAAATAGAGAGATCCAGAGATGTGATGAAACATTTCAGCCTGCATTGGGATGCTTTGTCACTACACAAATAAAGTTGCTTAAAAATAGTTGTTCACCTATGTAATCTCAACGGTGTTCTGACAACACCTCTTTTATACGACTTCTGACCTCTATTCACTTTACTGGAAATGGTCATTAGCCTGCCAGAACAAATCGAACTCACAATTATTCAGGCGCATTCTTAAGTCCCAGTGAATACAATCAAATAGCTAAGTTTGCGTTTTCATATATGAATCTCCAAGGTAACTTGTAGTGTAACCAGTTCTCAGATTTTAAGTGAAACATTTCTAGGTTACTAGTTGAAAAATACATGTCATTGGTTGAAAATTAGTTTTACCAAATGTGTATTGTATACCTATTATGGGCTAGGTATTGTACATATAGTAGAATAGGCTCAGTTGTCAAGATGCAGTCCTAAATTCCTAATGAAGTCTAAAAAGCAGTGTTCATCATATGTGTAACAGGCAGAGCAATGTGTGAAGAAAGCTATTTAATGAGGACCAAAGAACTCCAGTGGTTATCAGGCTGAACCTACAAAATTAGGAAATTCTGTGAGAATGTTGTACCAACTCTAAGCCACACTGGACTAATTCAGATGGAGGCATACTTTCCAAACTAATCAGATGCCTAATAAAGTGTTGGAGTATACGTGTGGACATGTAGAAGGGATAGTTGCGAATGTCTGACCTTGTGGAAATTTCCAAAGATGTCTACCCATAAACGGTAATTGGCAGTGTTCATGACTGAATTAAATTTAGTCCTTTGAATCTTGTCAGACAAGGATCCCAGAGTGATTCTGGCACATCACTCTTCTTATGGATAATCTACCACCAGAAGATAAACCTCAGTAAATCTGAGATATTTTTAAAATTACAAGAATATTTAGAAACTTCAAGTGAGTAAGTATATAAAATGTAAGCTGGAAAAAGCAGCCTTTGAAATGAGACACTAGAATATCTTTGGTAGATAAAAACTCTATTATTTCAAGGAGAGAGTTTTTGTTTCTGGAAAGTGCTAAGTTGTGTAACATAAAAGGCATTACTAAATTCAGGTGACAGGTAAAAGAATATTTTTTTTAAGAAATAATAAACCATGCATATTGGATTCCTAAAATATCACATTAGATGGGTAGCAAATTGTCTAACAAGTTTCAAATATTAGAAAGAGCAGGCTGAGTGTGGTGGCTCACAACTGTCATCCCAGCACTTTGGGAGGCCGAGGTGGGCGGATCATTTGAGGTCAGGAGATCGAGACCAGCCTGGCCAACATGGGAAAACCCTGTCTCTACTAAAAATACAAAAATTAGCTGGACATGGTGATGGGTGCCTGTAATCCCAGCTACTCAGGAGGCTGAGGCAAGAGAATCGCCTGAACCCAGGAGGCGCAGGTTGCAGTGAGCCGAGATCGTGCCACTGTACTCCAGCATGGGCAACAGAGCGAGACTTCATCTCAAAAAAACAAACAAACAAACAAAAAACAAACAAACAAAAAAAAAAAACAAAGAATATTTTAATGCCTTTTATTTATGTCTAGGAAACACTTGTCCTAATTAGAAGCAATAGGGAAAACAACAGGAGAGCACATTATTAATTGGAACAAGTATAAGATCTTTGCTGTTGAAAAACATTTGTTATTTTTTATGGGGTAAAGTCAACATATTCTATATCATAAACACAAAAAGAAGATTTACCTCTTAGGGTTATTTTATATATTATTTACCTGAATATAGTGAAATTCTCTCCATGTCAAAGAGTCACTCACAGATGGAATAGATGTCACAGCCAACAGAGCCAGTATTGCCAATCCCACAATTCCCAGAGACACATAAATCTCCATTCTCCAAACATCATGCTCAATCCAGGCATCTTCTTTATTTTGTTGGACCTACCAGAAGGTAAATAAAGAAAGAAGAAATGCAAACAACAGTTATTTCCTGAATGTGAATCTCCTTCTACACTCTTCCCTGTGCCTACTATGAAGCCCTGATAACAGGTCTCCACAAATTTATGACTTTTTCTTTTTTTTTTTTTGCATTCCTCTAAGACAAATGACATAGGAGCTATCACTTTTTTTCTTGAATGCAACACTTCCATAATCTATTAATTTTCTAATAATTATTTGATGGTTTACTTGGATAGAACTGTAATGTGCATGCATATTGGTAAACAAGGAGAAGAACAACAATATTAAAAAGTAATCTTGTGAGGGTGGTAGAAGTTTGAAATATGGCCTCGTCCATGAACAAAATGTTTCTTATGTTGCTAAAGTTGTACCTTATTTTCAGCCTAAAAAACATTTCTCAATATAAAACCGACTGACAACCAAGCCCTAGTGTAATTATAATAAAAATTTTAAAATAGATGACTTTTTCAACACAGAGTTTCAACAGGGTTGGGGTATTGATATTACAATGAGAAATGATTAATTTGTTAGGTGACTTAGACTTTTTATTAGTAACAGTGTCAACACTGTCATCTTACCTGTTGATATGCCCAGTTTAGCAACTTGTATCTGTAGGATCGCCTCATTGGGTAAGACAGACTATAAATTGCATGCAGTACAGCAAAAAAGAAACTGAGAAGCCCAAACTGCTTTCTTGTTAACATCCACTTATCCAACCAATGTGGAAACTTCTTATACTTGGTTCCATTATGAAGTTGGACAATTGCTGCTATCACACCTGGCAGGTAAACCAATGCCAAGAGAGTGATGGAAACCATTGGCAAGACTTTGTTGATGACCAGGATTGGAATTTTATAAAAATATTGTTGATGGGAAGTTGCTAAAGGGTGAATTACTTCCCTCAGAAGAGTGTAAAGAAAAGTCAGAGATGCTATAATAGCAGCTATTTTAATTGGCAAGTGCCACTGTGGAAAGAGTTCCTGTGTGTGCTGAAGTTCTGAAGGGCAGTCAAATTCATCAGCATGGGCTGTTTGGTGCAAATGCAAAAGCACAGGTCTTTTTAGCATGCTGGTCTCTCCCGTGTCCTTATGCTACAAAGGAAAGAAAATTAACATCTTAAAATTGAACAAAACAATGGGATATCTCTTGAACTAATTACTTATTGCTCAATCATTGTGCTTCTCATTGAATAAGGGCATTCAGAATCTTGCTTTTGAATACTGGTTAGTTGAAGATAGCATAGTCTATGTGGCACTGAAAGACTTTTGTCTTTAGGACAAAAGAAATACATGCTTCAGACAGGTAAGACAGTTAACTTGAAAAATGAAATTATTTCATTTTATGCACATTGTTACTCTTATAAAGTATATGCTTGTAATTTATTAATTACTTTTCCCTATTAAAATTATTAAGATTAAATAAATAATTTCTGCTAAAACTTCCATTGAGATAATTTGGAAGTTTGGAACCAAAATTTCTGCCACTTTTTCAGTCAAAAAATGTAGTAAGAAACACTTAATCCTGTGTTTGACCAAAAGTGGAACAAGTGATTCTTATCCAAAAGTAGATTTATTTGGTTATACAGTGAATCGTCAATTTACTGATCTCTTGGTAAGCTGCCACTGTGTCTATGACAAAAATGCTTGCTTACAAAATTACTGTTATATGGGCATTGATGACTTTTTTTTTTTTTTAACTTAGAACTATAGACTGTTAGAAAGAATTGGAAGGGCCTTGGGGATGATCTGGTCCAAGGCTTTCATGGTATAAACAAACTAAGACCCCAGATTTTCAGTAACTTATTCAAGGTTATTCAGCTAAGTCCCTGACAATCAGTGAAGGTACTATGTCTCTCACATATGCTACTCTGTCCTTCACAGTATCAGTGACGGTAATCCAAGTCCAGATATCAGCAGACTAGGGTGAAAAATCACTTTCATAACACTAGGAGATACAGAATGGCATCTGAATTATGTTTAAAGATGTAAATTATTATTTATTATTGTTATTATTAATATTTTACCAAATAATCGTCTTCTTCTAAATTTCTCCTAGGCTTCATTTTCCAAAGTTCTTCTTGGTTTGTGATGTCTTTTCTGCTTTCCATTAATTCTATAAAATAGTATGGCTTCAGCCACCTGTAAAAATAAAAATAATTACTTTCATGTCCATTCTACTTATGATGTGAATGTTTGATGTAACAATATAAAAAATTTACTTACTTAAAGACTAGAATGGCAGATAAAATACAATAAAAATGGAAATAGTGACTGATTTATACATTTAACTTCATATTATAATCTGTAAGTTTCAAACCAATGCCCTCTTATCAACAGTAACTGCTCTTCTTTATCTACTTATTTGTTCAATGAATAACCCAGGTGCCTGTATGCATTACAAAGGGTCAGATGTTGCCTTTTACTTGAGGAAGATTTAATTTCAGGTTTCCATCTGGAGGAAAGCCAACTCCTTTCAATGGCAAATATAATTAGGAATGTATTATATTGAGAGTAATAATGTCATCAATGGAGGCTGGAGGTAGCTGATATAAGATTTATGTTTAACAGAATTTTGGGGTTGACACTGGAGTCTGAAACAGTATTTTCAGAGTACCATTTTTCTTTTGGAGTAAGAGGTTGGTGCTTGTTTGGAAGATGTGAATTGCTAGTATGTTTCCAGTGGGAATGGTGAGTTGTGCCGAATTAATGATGTGCCCAGTCTTCTGGTCAACCCTGTGGAAAACAACTTTTCAAATTTCTCACTTGATAAAAGAATCTTTTCCTTAGCAAACTCACAGATCCTCATCCAGGATTGGTGTAACATTTTTTAGGGAAAGAAAACATATGTCACAGTACTATTCATTGTTTTTATTAGTTCTGAATTTATTTCCAGAGGAACACATCTTCAATTTACACTTTATGAAATTCAATGAGAAAAACAGATTAGATATACAACAATTTGATTGACAGAAAATATCCCAAGTGTTTCTGAATTTTAGACCACGTGTAGTACTTTTTTAGGTGGAAAGCTGTTTCCAGGAATAGTTTAAAATACAGTGATGTGTCACATAACACTTTGGTCAACGACTGACTGCATATGTAACAGTGGTCCCATAAGAGTATAATGGAGCAAAAAAATTCCTATTGCCTAGTATTTACAATACTATACTTTTTATTATTATTGTGAAGTGTACTCCTTCTACTTACAAAAAAAGAGCTAACTGTAAACAGCCCTAGGCAGGTCCTTCAGGAGGTCTTCCAGAAGAAGGCATTGTTATCATAGAAGATGGCAGCTCCATGCCTGTTACTGCCCTTGAAGACCTTCCAGTGGGACAAGATATAGAGGTGGAAGACAGTGATACTGATGATCCTGACCCTGGGTAGGCCTGGGCTAATGTGTGTGTTTGTGTCTTAGTTTCAACAAAAAAGTCTAAAAAGAAAAAAAAAATTAGAAATAGAAAAAAAGCTTAAGGAGTAAGTACATAAACAAAATATTTTGTATGGCTGTACAATGTGACTATGTTTTAAGCTAAGTGTTATTACAAAAGAGTAAAAACAATAAGTTAATAAAGTAAAATTACAGTAAGCTAAAGTTAATTTATTATTAAAGAAAAAAATTTTTCAATAAATGTAGGGTAGCCTTAGTGTACAGTGTTTATAAAGTCTATAGTACTGTACAGTAATGTCCCAGGCCTTTACATTCACTCACTACTCACTCACTGACTCACCCAGAGCAACTTCCAGTTCTGCAAGTTCTATTCATAGTAAGCGTCCTGTACAAATATACAATTTTTTATCTTTTGTACGATATATGTATGTTTACTATACCTTTTCTATGTTCAGATACACAAATACTTACTATTGTGTTTCAACTGCCCACAGTATTCAGCACAGTAACATGCTATACAGATTAGTAGCCTAGGAGCAATAGACTATACCATCTAGCCTAAGTATGTAGGAGGCTGTACCATCTAAGTTTATGTAAGTACACTCTATGATGTTTCCTCAACAATGAAATCCCGCCTTACAATGAATTTCTCAGAATGTATCCTGTCATGAAGAGACATGACTGTTCTTAAAACATTCTCCAAGTTTTAAAGGTTTAACTATAACAAAGAATAACGAGTTGCTTTTACATATGCCAACATTTACTTTGTTGAGGTACTCTTGGAATATTTTCCAGATATTATCTATTTCAAAATTACAGAACATTCATGATGAAGATATCTGTTGTTTTAGTTTGCCCACATTCTTTTCTGATTTAAAACATTTCCTCCATTTGGAGAAATGCCCTTCCTCCCTCCAATGTGATTTTGGGAGATTGTGTAAAATAGTAACGCTCATTCCCTGGTCACAGAAGTGGGTATATGACTCAGGCCTGGGCAGTTTCCTGTTTTCCCATTGATTGGCTTAGCGATGGCACAGAACCCTACTTAAACCTGGTCATTCTCTGATATTTATATATGGAAGTGGAAGAGAGAGATGAGATGTCTTTAACATTTTGTTAAGATAGCACAGTATAAGCCTGCCATGCTTTTTTCTCCATGCTCTAAGAAGGAACATGTTTTCATTAGAAAAGAAGAAAGCCAACACGGAAGCAGAACAAGAAGCAGAGAAAGACACAGAAGAGTCCTGGCGGCATATTTCAGTATTTAGAGCCCCTGAGACTAGATCCTGAATTTTTCAGTTAGACAGTCAACACATTCCCTTTTTTTTTGGTTTAAGTTAGTGTGATTTGGGTGTTCACCACTGGCATGTAAAAGAATTCTGAGTAAAGCATATGCCAATCATCAAGTATTTATGAACCCAACTCTGTGACCAACATTAAAGAGGAAAAATAGAAATGACACTCATGCCTGCTCTGGAGGAAATGACACTCTATCTCCTTAAGAAGCATTATTCCAAGTCATTTGGTGACTTAACCAACTGTATTACGCTGTTCTCGCACTGCTATAAAGAAATACCTGAGGCTGGGTAATTATTATAAAGAAAGGAGATTTAATTGGCTCATGGTTCCATAGGCTGTAAAGGAAGCATGGCAACATCTGCTTCTGGGGAGGGCTCAGAGGGCTTATAGTCATGGCGGAAGGTGAAGTGGGAGCAGGCGTCTTACATTATCGCAGTGGTCCCCAACCTTTTTGGCACCAGGGACTGGTTTCGTGGAAGACAATTTTTCCAAGTAGGGGAAGGGGGATAGGGTTTTGAGGTGAAACTGTTCCACCTCAGATCATCAGGCAATAGTTAGATTCTCATAAGGAGCACACAACCTAGATCCCTTGCATGTGCAGTTTGCAATAGGGTTCATGCACTTAGGAGAATCTAATGCCACTGTTCATCTGACAGGAGGTGGAGCTCAGGCAGTAATGCTCGCTGGCCTGCCACTCCCCTCCTGCTGTGCAGCCCAGTTCCTAAAAGGACACTGACTGATACCAGTCTGCGGCCACGGGGTTGGGTACCCCTGCACTAACGTGACAACAGCACCAAGGGGGGATGGTGTTAAACCATGAGAAACTGCTCCCATGGTCCAATCACCTCCCACCAGACCCCAGCTCCCTCACTGGGGGTTACATTTCAACATGAGATCTGAGGGAGAGACACAGCTCCAAACCATATCACCAACATAATAGTTTGTGGGGTGGGGGAGGGAGGTGCTAGGAATGGAAGTGTCACCTACTATAATCAAATGTAAGAAATAATTCACTATGTTTAGAAGATCTTTTAACTTTGAGGGTTGCAGTATCGTAAGGATGCTAACAAATCCACCTACATTTATTCAATATGAATTCATTAACTATATTGTGAACAACAATGTAAGGCAGGAGGAATGCAAAGTTAAATGAGATAAAGCCTCTGCTCTGAAAAACCTTGAGGTCTAGGAGAGAAGGCAGGCATTTCAACTGCATGGTAGAGCGATGTATCCTAGAGGAGGATAAAGTTTTACAGGCAGATGGTGGCATGGGAAGGGAAGTAGAGGAAAAGGCTCAGCGCTGTCTTCTAGACCCAGTCCTGGGGTAGCTAGCAGGTTGGCAGTGTTTGCTGACTGATGGCCACTACAAACGGAGTCTGGGTGGAAAACCAGAGTGGCCCTGGAGAGTTACCCAGCCATTTGTCTGCATGGTAAGGAGACCACACTCAAGAGCAAAGCCAAGGAAAAGCCCATGACAGTGAGGAAGCTTGTTGACTGTGTGGCCCACAGTCAACTCTATGCCCATAAGCCAGGAAAATAAACTATGAGTCAAATAAATTTGTTGGTTTCCATCAGACATTAACCAAAATGAAATTTAAGTTCTACAGTAAAATCTTTTCATAAAAAGAAAAATAACAGAAAACAACCTGGTGTTAAAATGTTAGGAACTCCAGAATTCGACCCAAAGTTCTCTTTCACCCCCTTTTAAAAAAAGTGAAGCATATTTCTAATGCGACTGCTGTTTTGCTGTACCAGGATGGCTGCCCTGGTGTTCCTAAATGTTGGCACAGCCCAACTTACTCATGTTTATGTCCCGCAGTTGAGAATATGAAGAAACCCAATGCCTGGAATACACTGTGGGTTGCATTGCATTTCCAACCTTTTATACTTTCAAGTGCACACTTGTTTTACATTTAACTAAGTGAAGTCGAGTTTTTTGTTTTTTTTTTTCACTGGGCTGTTTTTAAGCATTGCTTTCCCTCTGTGCTTAACATTCATGTTAAATGAATAACCTTTTATTACACGTCAGGATGTGGAGGGAAATGTATTTTACAAAAGTAACAAAGTAAGAAATTTGGAAGTGTACAAAAAATTTATGTCTACAAACACCTTCCAGTGGATTTGACCAGAATTACATATTTAAAGCCTTGATTGACTATTTTGGAGGGAACCTGAACCCCACCCAGATCCTGAAAGAGTAGGGCCAGTGTTCTAAGGACTAAAAATGAAAACCTCTGTTACCAGGAAACCCGAAGACGAGAAGTAGCACGATTTTAAGTACTGTGCACCAGTCATTCGTCAATGCACAGCAAACTCTGGCAACTTTGCCACGTTAAAAAACTTGCCATCAAAATCCAACCTGAGCACAAACTTAATAATCTACCACAACCTTAAGCCCCTAGCGAAAAGGCTTCCTGTGAGTCCCTGGCTCTCCCCAACCCCCGGCCCGGCCACAACCCAGCTGGGCTGGAAGGCAGCGCGCCCCAGAGCCGCGCATAAGCGGAGAATTGAGCAGCGCTCGCCCAGGAGGGCCGCTGTCCAGGTCACGAGAAGGCTTGCGACCCGCTACACCCCTCCCAAGACTGGGAGCGGGCGCCCAGCCTTGCAGGGACACGCGGGCGGACTCGAGGAGCAAACGGCCAGTGAGAACGATTCAAGGGACTCACCCACTCTTCGCCTTAGCTTGACCGTGAGTCTCGGCTGCCGCTGCTGCCCAGAGGTGCGGGCCCCACGCGGCGCCTGAGCCTCCAGAGCGCGGAGCCTCCAAGCCAGCTGCAGGCCCCGCCTCCTTGTCCGTTGCGCGTCCAGCGCCACCTGCTGGCGCCCCGCGTCCGCAGGGTTCCGGAACGTCCTTGGAGGCTAAGACTCCCCAAGTCGCACTCCGGCCTCTCCCAGTTTCCTCTCAAATGCCGTCTGCCCTGCACCTGAGGTCCGTTTCGCGCCCTCCAACCCCTCGCCTTTTGTTTAATCTCCACTAAGGAACGTTTGTGCATTTCTCTAGAGCAGTGGTTCTCAGACTTTAGCGTGTATAAGATTACCCGGGGGCTTATTAAAACACCGATTGTTGGGCTGTCCGCCCACAGTTTCCGGTTCAGTATGTCTGGGATGGGGTCTGAGATTCTCATTTGTAACAAGTTCCCATGAGATATGGAAGCATTCCCAGATCACACTTTGAGATAGACCGTTTAGAGCTTACAAACCCTCCCACACGTTAGCTTATTTATTTTTATTTTATTTTTATTTTTTTTGAGACGGAGTCTCAGTCTGTTGCCCAGGCTGGAGTGCGGTGGCGCGATCTTGGCTCACTGCAACCTCCAGCCCCGGGTTCAAGCGATTCTCCTGCCTCAGCCTCCCGAGTAGCTGGGATTACAGGCGCCTGCCACTGTGCCCGGCTAATTTTTGTATTTTCAGCAGAGACGGGGATTTCACCATCTTGGCCAGGCTGGTCCTGAATTCCTGACCTCGTGATCCACCCGCCTCGGCCTCCCAAAGTGCTGAGATTACAGGCGTGAGCCACCGCGCCCAGCCACCTTATTTAAAACCTAACAGCCGGTCCTGAAGTGGCTGTGATTGACAGTTTGAGGAATCCGAAGCTGAATTTCTGAGAGTGACTTGCTCCCTGAATTGTTCAAATTGTGTACCTTTAATCGCACAAACCCTGCTCCCCAGCCGAAAAAAAAACCCTTAAACCCCATGTTTACTCCGTCCCTCCCTTCCTTGCCTTAGCTTTTAAGTGCAGCTTCCCATATCCTAGCTCAATGAAGTATTCCAAACCTAAAGTAAAGTTAACTGTTAATATTCCAAGGTTTTAGAAAAAGACAACTTGAGCAGGGGATTTACTTCTCTCCGTTGGAACCAGCCTCAAGATAGGGTCTGAGACATGAATTGCAAAATTCTGGGGATTTGGTATACAACATTCTCAGGACTAAGCTGAGTAGAAAACACAAAGGAAAATAAACGCGCAACCACATTTTCCATGATTGTTTTTTATTCACTGCTAGGGCACCGAAGACTGTTCATGTTTTTTTTTTTTTTTTTTTTTTTTTTTTACTTTTTTTTTTTTAATTATTATTATTTTTTTTTATTGATCATTCTTGGGTGTTTCTCGCAGAGGGGGATTTGGCAGGGTCATAGGACAATAGTGGAGGGAAGGTCAGCAGATAAACAAGTGAACAAAGTTCTCTGGTTTTCCTAGGCAGAGGACCCTGCGGCCTTCCGCAGTGTTTGTGTCCCTGAGTACTTGAGATTAGGGAGTGGTGATGACTCTTAACTAGCATGCCGCCTTCAAGCATCCGTTTAACAAAGCATGTTTTAATATAAGTATTTTCTGTAGTCACTGACTTTCCTTGGATTAGTTTAAAGCCCTTTGAAGCTTAAATTACCGTGGACTGACACCTTGTGGTGGAAATAGAATCTTACACCTGTTGTTTCTAGTGAAACTAGAAAATAATTTAAAAGTTTTAGAAAAGAAATCTGTGTAATCTTTGTATGTGTAGCACAGACTACAAAGAATTAAGACTTTTTAACTAAGCATTGTTGAGTTTTAAAAGTGATCATGGGTCTTAAATGGTCAGACAAAACGATATGCTTTTATTGTTTAACATTTGGTAGAACAAAGGTCATTCTGTTTTTCACAATCTATTTTCCATATGAAAAGGGCAAAGAGTTATTATTGTGTTAACATAATAATATATATTCATATGAATATGGCTATATAGCAAGCTGCACTTAAAACTGCTTTTCCTTTTCTAATTAAAACATTTAAAATCAAACCCCAAATATTTTTGTTTTATAATTAGACTTTAGCAATTTTATTTCTGCACTTCTTATAAAAGGTTTTTTTGCCCAATATTTTAGTGTGGAGAATAAATAGAGTATGTTCCAAAGTAAAATGATTAAAAGTGTGAGATTATTTATCAATTAGTTTGTAGATATTATAAAAGAAACACAATATTCGATTAAGAAAAACATATTACTAAAAAGCTTTTATTGAGTTGCCAGGAGTTAGTATCATAGATGAACTATCTGCAATTTTTGCATACAAATAACCTGTAATTTGAGGTGTGAGATAAAGAAAAAAAATTTTTGTGGTGGGGGCGGGTAATACAATGCCAGAGCATCTCAGAATGCTGAGTCAGCCTCTTTAGCACATACTTTTAAAAACAAGTGTGGCTTGTGGAAAGCCACATTATGCTATTGCAAATGTTGAAAGGCAAGTTGCTAGTTTTGCTGTGACTCTAAACAACTAGAGGATTTAAAATGGGAGTTCGCCCATGAGTTACCAATAAATTTGGATCTTTCAGAATATTCTGTAATAAACTTAAACTATAGTGAGAGCGCATATTAACATAATGGACCTCAGTGTTATTTGAGGTCAAATACTAAACTGGTGACTTCATAATAACATGCTGTGGAGAAAATATAATTTAGAATCCACGAGTATTTTTGCCTGTCAAATAAGCAACCTGATCTTAGAACCTGATGAGACGACCATTTTAAAAGTAAATGAAATACTATGGTGTGAGAGATAAAATAAAAAATATCATACTATTAAAGATAATCACAATGAGAAATAGACAGTAAATTTTAAGTGAATGACAAGAATTATATTAAGTTTTTTCCTTTGGAAATCTAACTCCTGAAGGGACAGCAATTTAAGTAATGATCAACACTATTTCCAAGTCTGCCTCTTACGAAAGAAGAATGGTCAGACTTTTATTTTAAACGACTGCAAAAATTACCTAAGTTCAAGAAGAAATATTTGTCAAAATGATGTTTTAAGACAGACATGATAAGGCTTCACTGGCCAAAATTTCTGATTCTGTTAACCTCATATGATACATTCTCTTTACTAGTTCAAGATCTACTGTAATCTTCAAAGTATGTGGTCAGTTTGTCCCTCGTGTCTGCGTTTAAAAGTGGTTGGGGGTAGAGAGGAGGTCTGTTCTTGGGACTGGAGGTTTTAACTATTCTTCTGAATTCTTTCTCCCAAACTCAAAGTCCCTTATTGCTCTTTCACCAAGACAGGCAACAGTAAACATCTTTTCAGGTAGGTTGTAAGAGTAGGTGCTTCATTTCCAAGCTCACAGATCTCTGCCTGAGTACTGTTCAGTGATGTTCAAAATGCCGTGATATATTCCATTGGCTTTAAATATGTTGCGATCTATGAAAAGACTAAAGTTCCTGGCAATGGTACCATATTAAGCCTTATCAGTTATTTACATCCTACTATAAAGAATATTTCAGCTTTTTCTGAAAGTATGTTCTGGCATGGAGAAAGAAATATCAGGATATCAAACACTTATAATAGAAGGTTATGAAGGGGTTATACCTTAGGGAAAAAAGAAGGTATTATTATCCTCATTTAGAGGATATGGAGAAATTAAGGCTCTGTTTCAAAGCAAGTCTGTAAATTCTTTAACATTCTTCCCATCAAGAAGAGAGACCTATCTCCTGCCCTGGAACATGGGCAGCACTTTTGACTGTCTCCGTGCATATAATATGGTGGAAGTGACACTGCTTGACTTGTGAAGCTGGATCACAATGGGTTATTGACTTCCACCAGCCTGTCTCCGGGTACAGGTGACTTCATGTAAGAAGTCCAGCTACCCTGACAGAGAGTCCACATGGAGGGAGCACATTGTAATAGACAGAGGTGCCTGAGGAGCCCCGACTGTTCCAGCCGCCAGCTATTTAGGTCTTCCCAAGTCAGGCACCAGAGAATATGAATGGAAAGGCCTTCAAGAGAACTCTAGCCCCAGCCATTGTCTGATTGTCACTGCATGAGGACCAAAAACTGCCTAGCTGAGCCCCATCAACCCCTAAAGAAGTGAAAGATAGTAATGACAAATGCTTGCTGTTGTTTTATAGCACCAAGTTCTGAGTGGTTTGTTGTGCTGCAGGCTCCAAGAGAAGTAACTTTCTGAGAGCACTCAGGAATTTCTTAGTGGAAATGGGGCTAGAATCAATTAACTGCATTTAATGCAGTATTAACCAGACAACTGTGTTGGGTCCTGGGGACCAGAGAAGAATTAACACACAGCCCAAGCCTTCCCCTGGTCTGAGCTTCCTCTTCCCACCTTCATATTCATGGCAGCTTCTTCTTGCTGGGAGTGGGATGGAGGAGCCCTAGGGCTGCTGGCTTCTGGAAGGAACTGGATCCAGGGCACCCTGGCTATTCCCTTGCTCCATGCTGTGTGCAGGTGGCTCTGGCACCAAGAGGTGGCACCAAACCTGCTGCCAGCCTTGGCTTTCTCACCAGTGGGGCTCCGATGAGTTGACAGACTGTGTTTGGAATTGAGCATGGCGGTATTACAAAGGCAAATGGGTACCACACAACCTGCCTGCAGTGTTGCTTTGTTCTGATGAATTACACCGAGTCCCTGGATTCACATTTGGCTGGATTGTCAGGAAAAATATGTGTTCTGGGTTCCAGCTGATCTTTTCATCTAGCTTCTGTCCTCAGGTAAACATTCCCTGTTAAAATTCTAAATGTTCATCTGCTTCCTCTAAAGAGATTGGTAAAAAGGCATAGAACACCTAAGAATCAGTGTTACTTGTAATGAGCCCAGGGCTGCTGCAGGGGGCACCATATACATAGAATACCAGGTGAGTGGGGCCCCCAGGGCTGAAGTATTATGCTCTAGGCCAGAAAAAGGATATTTTTTTTTATTTCTGGGATACAGATAATGTATTTTCACATAACATCCACATGTTTCATGAATTAAACCAACAAATATTTACCAAGTATCCTTTAAATCCTTTAGTATTTAAAGTATCATTTTTTACAAAAAAAAAAAAAAAAATTGAGGGCCAACTTATTTTTGCCTGTCATGAAATCAAAGGCCAATTAAATAATCACTTCCAAATTTATATTTCTGTTTTATAGGTTTTCTTTATTCAAGGCATTCTTGTACAGTAAAGGGCAGGAAAAGGAGAGGGAGAGGGAAAGGGAGAAGAGGAAGAAGGAGGAAGGTGTGTGTGTTGGGAGTAGGGAGAAGCTTTGCAAATGGTAAACCTGGGTTATTATTTGACTTTTGGTTAAAAAAAAAGTTGCATCAAATTAAGCAGTAAGCAATCATGAAGCAGGCAGTGACATGCATAGAGCAGATTTTCCTAAATCATCTTCCCCAGAACACCAATTCGCTAAGATGTTAATAAGCATTTTCCAAATAAAGATTTTCATTTTTCAGATAAATTCAGGACCGGCTGCATCTCCACTCCTGGTGAGTGACAATTCGTTTTAGCATGTTAAAGGCTCTGGAAAATGCTAGGGTAAAAGCAAAATGAAACACAAAACAAGAAGCTTGATTGACTTCCTTTAGCCTGGCACCCCCCAAATGCTGAACTTCTGTTATTGAAGTCGCTGAGGAACAGAGCCCGTGGCACATGTGGAAAATCCTCTGCTGGATGAGGTGACTGTGGGATGGTCTCTGCTAGCTCCCTGCTAGGTCAGAGTGGAGCACTGGAGAAACACCAAACTCCTACCCAGGAGGGAAAAGGTCTGTTTCTCTGGCATCCTGCCTTTTGGTAGGGAGAAAAACTTCCAGTTTGAGTCTGAGGTGAAAATCGCTTTCCCCTTGCATCAAAGTCATGGAAACCCTGATGTGCTGTTATACCCTTCAACATTCCCATCCCTGCAGTGCCTCAGGCTTTTGCAGTTTGCCCTCCTCATGCCCTTTCCTGGATCATGGCCTTCTTTCAGCTGCCATTCCATTTTCACAGTCATTTCCATGCCCCATTTGGCTAACTCACCACTCCCTCAAAAGGAGATGCCCAGGTCAAAAAGCAGAGCTTTGCCCCATGTCCTTCCTGGAGCCTGGAGACTCCTCCTGAGTCCAGAGGGAGCAGTGAGCATGCCAGAGAAGGGCCCCTGCTAGGGACTGCTTCTGCTGTGAACATTTGGGTCCTGTTCCTGTGCTTTCCCACACCTCTCCCAGATGCTGCCGCAACCTTTACATGAATGCTCAGCCTCAGTTTCCTCCCGTCTCAAATGTCCTTATTTCAGGGTTGGGATAAAGAGTAAAAAAAAATATGTTTAGAGTTTTAAGCCTAGTGCCTGCTTGCAATAGGTGCTCAACAAGTAGATGCTATTACTGATCATCACTATTCTTGCCTTATCTTCCCAAAGTGCCTCCATACTGAGGATACAAATGAGGTCAGGTTAACAGGACCAATTTAAATCTCACTGACTGCTTGGCCTCATTTGCACCTGCAGACCTTCACACCTCCTCCACCTGTAAGCTCCAGGCCAGTATTTCTGGGACTCTCCAGAGGGTGTCTCATGGGTATGTAAGAACGAGCCCGCTCTCTGTGCCACGCAAGCCTGCTCATGGCTCACTTGTCACCAGAATGCCCGCCACCAGCTGTCACAGCTCCACGGGGTGCAGGAGTGAGGCCCTGGCTCCACCTGGCGTAGCAACTCCATGTTGGTGGTTATGGCCTGTGTGCCACCCATCTGCTCTTCTGTCCTAAGAACAGACTGTACTGTGGTCTCTGAGCGGCCAGCTTTTTGTGTTACTGGCTGTTGGACGGGGGCCGAGTAGGGCTCCTTGAGACCTCGCATGTTAGAATTTACTGACAGAGTTTTTCTTTTTGGAATTCTCACCTTTTTCCTCCTTAGGAAAGGAGCTGGGCTAGGGATGGGATGAGTCGCTTCCTTCACAGGGAGCTTGGAGTCTCTGCTGTCTTCACCACTGAAGGCTTTGTTGTCAGGTCCAGCGTCTTGCTCTGGCACTACCTCATGTGGGAGGTGTTCTCCCCTGGTGGTCTATTCCGTTCCTTACAAGCAGTCAGCCCCCATAGTGGGCCCAGACTGAGTCCTCTTCCAGGAGGCTCTTCTGCCTGTGCAAAGGGGCCACTGCCAGGCCCAGCCCTCAGTGTGCTGGTCTCAGTCTCAGTGGCCCCACCATGGTGCTTGCCTATGGGAGCAAACTCTCCTGCATCTCCATCCTCCTCACAGCACTAGCCACTGTGGTGACCATGGGTCCTACCCGATCCTGCTGGTGACTCCCTGCCACCATTGCCAGGACACAGCTCTTTCTGGCCCAGAGTGACAATTCTGGCAAATTTAACTTGACATTGGCTATCCAAGGACAAGTATATGGTGAGCACTAAGCAGCAGGCATTGTGTCTAGCTTCTGGCTCTCATAGATTTGCTAGGATTCCCCTATAATGGCGGTGGTGGTGAAAGGAGCTTACTCTACCCTGGGCAGGAGCTAGGCTGCAAACCCAAGTCTGGCTAAATCAAAAGTCCAGGCTTCCTAGAGACTCACTGTCTCTTTGTTCCTTACTGGAATCTTTGCTCTTATCCTCACACCTGTGCCACGCAAAGCCCCTCAGGAGCTAGGCTGATCATGACTGGATCCCGCACAGTCTGCCCAGCATGCTCCTCCCCATTGCCTCTAAGCTGGCCAGGACCCTGGGGGGCTTTCCCCATGCACTACCCTGACACCTTTCTGGGGCACCATAGTAACTATCCACAGCCCCTCCTGGAGTGTGTCTCTTCATCCTGAGGTCTAAAGTCCTGATAATCTCCCCCAGTGAACCTGCAGTTTCTCTGAGGAGCCAGGTCCTCTGAGGACATGGGTCCCCTGGTGACTGCCTTGCCATTACTGGAACTTCTCAGATGAGTGTGCAGACCACATCCCATGATCCCCAAGGAGCATTAGCCTAGAGGAAACACCTGATCAATCCCTGCCAATTTACGCTAAAAGCCACCATTAAAAAAAAAAAAAAAAAACCCTCATCAGGATGACCTCCTATACCACAAAAACTTGCCCTCAGCAGAACTCTCTATAGGTCTCAAAGGTGACAGTATGAAGTACTGCTGGAAATTCCCACTCTCCTGGCGTCCTATTTATTGATCACATAGCTGCCTTCCGGGGGTAGAACCACTGGGAAATGTGTATGAACAGCACTCATCAACCATCACGTTTTTATTTGGCATTAGCTCCATGCCCAGTGAAGTGCCAGGTACAGACTGAGATTCATTTAAAAAATAGAAAGCATGGTCCTGTAAATAATTTGCAATTAACCAGGGAGATACACTTATACTGGAGAATTGAAGAACAGCTACAAGTACGCACCGTAAGTAGGAAAGTTCTACAGCTTCCCTGGCTTCCTCCCACTCTCAGCCCTGCAAGCTCACCCAAGCCGAGCAGCCCACTGGCTGTACCTCAAACGTGCCAAGCGACTCCTACCTCAGGGGCTTCTCCTGGTTATTCCTGTGTCCTGGCAAAACCTTCTCCCAGACCTTCCCAATACTCCCTGCCTCTCTTCCATCCATTCTCTGTTTCAATTCCCCTTCGCAGAGAGGCCTCCCTGGTCATTGTCTCTAAAACAGTTCCTCCTCTTACTCACTCTTCTTACTTTGCTTTAGTGTTTCTTCATAGCACTTGTCACTACCAAATATCCCACTTGTTATTTACTTGTTTTTGTGTGTGTATTAACTACATATATATTTCAGTTGAAAGGTCTGTTCAAAACTTTGATCCTTTTTGAAATTTCCTTGTTTTTTATTGTTGCATTTTAGAGTTTTTGAGTTTATTCTGTTTTGTTTACTGTAGTATCTCCAGAGTCTGGAATAGCACCTGCCACAAAGGAAGCTATTTCCTGAGGAAATGAGGGAATAAATGAAGGGATGATAAATGAATGAATGAATGAGACAGACTATGCCTCGTGGTAGGATTTATATAAAATGAGAATAATATAAAAATAATGCAATTTTATATTTGCATATCACTCATTCCATATATGTGATTGTGAGATGTATCCCATCTGTGTGGTGTGTGTCTGTGGGTATGTATGTGTGAGTGGTGAGTTTGTGCATGCTGTTTATGTGGATCTAGCCAATTGACCACTGTGCAGGAGGAAGAACTCAGACCTTGGAGTCAGAGGAATCTGGCTTCACATCCCTGCTCAGTCACTTGTTAACTATATGACAGTAAGTATGTTTCTCGACTTTTCCAAACCTGGGTTTATTCACGTTAACATGGGGATAAAAGTACCTCTTTCATAGATTTGTTATGGGGGTGAAATGAGACAACATACAACATAATTAAAACACCTTACAAATGAGAAATGCTTAGAAAAAACTATTTTTTATATGTATGCTTTTCTTTTGATTTCCTAATTTTTAATTTTCATAAGGTAATATTCACTGATTTTAGTGTATAGTTGTATGATTTTGGATCCCAATCAAGTTTTTTTTTTTTTTTTTTTTTTTTTTGGAGACAGAGTCTCGATTTGTCGCCCAGGCTGGAGTGCTGTGGCATAATCTCGGCTCACTGCAAGCTCCGCCTCCCGGGTTCACGCCATTCTCCTGCCTCAGCCTCCCGAGTAGCTGGAACTACAGGTGCCTGCCACCACGCCCGGCTAATTTTTTGTATTTTTAGTAGAGACGGGGTTTCACCGTGTTAGCCAGGATGGTCTCGATCTCCTGACCTCGTGATCTGCCTGCCTCAGCCTCCCAAAGTGCTGGAATTACAGGCGTGAGCCACCACGCCTGGCCCCCAATCAAGTTTCATGACCCAAAGTGTTCCTTCTAACTGCCCCCCATTTGGGGCAACTTCTCTCACTCCAAACTCTTGGCAACCACTGATTTGTTCTTCTTTCCTGTAGTTTTGCCTTTTCCAGGGTAGCGTGTAAATGGGTTACCATATGTAGCTTTTTGAGCCTAGCTTCTTAAATTTAGCATAATGAATTTGAGAATCTTCCATGTTGCATGTATCAATAGTTTGTTCCTTTTTATGGCTGAATTTGCTTATTCATTGTGTATCCATTCACTAAAGGACATTTGTTTCCAACTTTGGGCGATTATGGATAAAGCTGCTGTATTACATTTGCATAATGGTTTTATATGAACATAAGTTTTCATTTTTTTGGATAAATACCTTAAAATGAGATTGCTGGATCAGATCGTAAGTGTGTATTTAAGTTTCTTGTAAGAAACTACCAAACTGTTGTTCAAATATTCCAGTGGCCTGAATCCTCACTAATACATTGTACTGTCATATTGTGTTTAAACTTTAGCCTTCCTAATTGGCAGGTAGTGGTTTCAGTTTGTATTTCCCTGATGTCTATTGATGTTGACTGTCTTTTCATGTGCCTACTTGCCATACATATGTATTTTAGTTGAAGTGTCTGTTCAAAATTTTGATTCTTTTAAAAATTTCCTTGTGTTTTTATTGTTGCATTTTTGAGATCTTTTTATATTCTGGATACAAGTCTTTTGTCATATATGTAATTCACAGATGGTTTTTTCCTAGTCTGTGGCTTTTCTTTGCATTATTTTGACAATGTCATTTGCAAAGCAAATTCTTAATTTTTAATGAATTCTAATTTACCAATTTTTTTCCTTGAAAGTATTGTTTTGGTGTTAATATGAGAATTTTTGCCTAATTTAGGGATGTAATAATTTTCTCCTATATTTTCCTTTAAAAGTTTACAGTTTTACATTTTATACTTAGCTCTATGATTCATTTTGAGTTAATTTTGTTAAAAAGACTATCCTTTCTCCACTGACTTACCTTTTGTATGTTTTTAGAAATTCAGTTGACCATATTTATATAGGTCTATTTCTGGGCTTTATTTTATTTGATTGACTTAGGTGTTCAACCTTTTGCCAATATCACGCTTGATTACACTAACTTGAAATAAAGTGGTATGAGTTTTCCAACTTTGCTCTTTTTCAAATTTCTTTTGCTATTCTCGTTCTTTTGCTTTACCCTATATACTTTAGAATCAGCTTGCCAATATATATAAATAATTTTGTGGAGATTTTGATTATAATTGCATTGAACCTATAGATAAATTTGGGGAGAATTGACATCTTATGAATATCCCATAAACACAGTATATCTTCCCATTTATTTGGCCTTTCTTTGGGATTTTTTTTTAAATCAGGGTTTATAACATATAGATCCTGCTGATATTACATTTACTCTTAATATTTTATTTTATGGCACTATTATAAATGGCATAATGTAAAATTTCAATATAAATTATTTATTGGTAGTATATAGAAATACATTTGTTTTGTTTTTTTTGTTTTTTTTTTTTTTTGAGATAAGAGTCTTGTTCTGTTGCCCAGGCTGGAGTGCAGTGGCATGATCTTGGCTCACTGCAACCTTTGCCTCCTGGGTTCAAGTGATTCTCGTGCCTCAGCCTCCCGAGTATCTGGGATTACAGGTGTGTGCCAGCACACCTGGCTAAGTTTTTCTATTTTTAGTAGAGATGGGGTTTCACAATGTTAGCCTGACTGGTCTCGAACTCCTGACCTCAAGTGATCTGCCTGCCTCAGCCTCTCAAAGTGATGGGATTATAGGTGTGAACCACCATGCCTGGCCAAAATTAATTTTTATATATTGATCTTTTTAGTCAATTATGATTATGAGCTCTAGAGCTTTCTTAGAGATTCCTTGGAATTTTCTACATAATGCCTTTTATTTCTTTTTCTGGCCTTATTGCACTGGCTAGGCCTTCCAGAACAATGTTGTAAAAAAGTGGTAAGAGCAAAAGTCTTTCTCTTGTTTCCTATTTTAGGGGAAAGCAGTCTTTTCCCATTAAGTGTGAAATCAACTATACAGTTTTTTCTACATGCGCTTTATCAGTTTTAAAAAAATTTCCTTCCATTATTAGTTTGCTGAGAATTTGTATCATGAATAGATATTGAAAATTTCAAATGCGTTTTCTGTATCTATTGAAGCAATCATGGTTTTCCTTCTTAACCTATTAATATAGTTAATTATACTGATTGACTTTCAAATGTTGAACCAGCCTTACATTCCCAAGACAAATCCTGCTTAGTCATGTTACATTATCCTTTGTAAATATTGCTGGAATAGATTCACTAAAATTTTGTTCAGAATTATTTCACCTATGTTCATAAGGGATATTGGTCTGGTTTTAATGCTGGTCTAATTCTAGCCTAATAAAATGGGTTGTGAAGTATTTCCTTCTTTTCTATTTCTGAGAAAAGATTATATAGATTTGTTACTTCTTCCTTAAATGTTTGGGAGAATAACTCAGTAAAACCATCTGGACGTGGAGTTTTCTTTTTTGAAGTATTTTAACTACAAATTCAATTTCTGTAATAGATATGAGACAAATCAAGTTATCTAATTTCTTCACCAAGCTTTGGTAGTTTGTATGTTTCAAGGAATTAGTCCATTTAATTCCTGATTTAACCCTGATTTAAACACAAATTTGTGGTAATACAGTCATTTGTTTTTCTGTAGTGATATCCACTCTTCCATTCCTGATATTGATAGCTTTTGTCTTCTCTCTCTCTCTCCTTCTTGCTTAGTATAGCTAGAGATTTATGCATTTTATTGATATTTCATTGGCTTTGTCTACTGTTTTTCTGCTTTCATTTTCATTGACTTTTGTTTTTATTTTTGTTAATTCATTTTCTCTGCTTGCTTTGGGTTTAGTTTGTTCTTTTTATCTTTGTTTGTTTTTTTTTTGTTGTTTGTTTGTTTTATGGAGTTTCATTCTTAGCCTCTAAGCTGGAGTGCAATAGCACAATCTTGGCTCACTGCAATCTCCGCCTCCCGGGTTCAATAGATTCTTCTGCCTCAGCCTCCCGAGTAGCTGGGATTACAGGTGCCTGCCATCACACCCAGCTAATTTTTTGTATTTTTAGTAGAGAAGGGGTTTCACCATGTTGGCCTGGCTGGTCTCAAACTCCTGACCTCAGGTGATCCACCCGCCTCGGCCTCCCAAAGTTCTGGGATTACAGGGGTGAACCACCCTGCTCAGCTGTTTGTTCTTTTTTTCTAATGTCTCACTGTGGAAGCTTAAGTTATTGATTTGAGACTTTCTTTTCTAATATGAGCATTTAGTACTATAATTTTCTTCTCTCTAAGCACTTCCACAATTTTTTATAAATTGTATTTTTATTATTAATTATTTTAAAATATTTTATTATTTCCCTTGAAACTTACTTGACCAATGGGTTATTTAGAACTGTGTTGTTTAACACAGTTACACTGCGTTGTTTAACTTCCAAATGTTTAGGTATTTTCTAGATATCCTTGATTTTTTATTTTTTTCTTTAACCATGTATGGTCATACATATTATTGTCAACATATTTGGTATGATTTCAATTATTTTAAAATTGTTAAGGTTTATTTAATGGTTCAGAATGTGTCCTTTATAGGTACTTGAAAAGAATGAGTTTTGCTGTTTTGGAGTGGGTTGGCACCTGTTAGTGGTTTTTCCCTTGACTATTGGTCACATTTTCCTGGTTCTTTGTATGTTAAGTAGTTTCAGATTGTATTTTAGACAATCTGATATTATGTTGTGAGACTCTGAGTCCTGTTAAAATCCTCTAGAGAATATTGATTTTCCATAATGACCACCCTGATATGCAGTTCCACACAACTGGAGAGACAAAGAGAACGAAAACAAAAATTTTCCCCCATCCACTTGGGATGATAGGGAACTCTTTTGAAGATCCTCTGACCAGAGAGACAGTGGTTTGTTTGTTTGCTTTCTCAGTGTTTTAGGTGCACATGCCACAACTGCTGCAGAGAAGCTCTAGACTGTGGCCACTCCTCGCTTAGAGATAGGAGGAAAAAAGAGGGGAAAAACAGAAAAAAAAAAAGCCTTGGAATATATTCTACACTTTTCAGCTTACAGAGGTCTCTGTATCTGTTTGGTTCAACAAAGGAGATTTCTCTGAGTTTTGATGTCTGCTCCTACTGCTCAGTTCCATAATTAGGGCCATTTTCATTTCAAAGCAGTGAGATACAAAAGCAAAAATAACTCAGGATTCTCATCCTAATACTGGTTTTTCTTCAAATTTTGACTTTCAAACTATCTTCTGGTGTTTACTTTTCAGAGTCCTTAAATAGTTACTTTCTGTATTCATTTTTAGCTGTAATCTGTGAGAGAGACAGACTATAGAGGGCTGACTTTATCTTGGCCGGCAATGGCGGTCTCAGTAATATTTAACATCTAATAATTATTGAATTCCATGTACAACTCGCATCTCCTATCCTACCCTCTTTAGGAGGGCTTTTAAGAATGCTGGATAGTGGGAATTTTAGAGACATTGTGGGCTGACTTCTGTTTTCACTGGGAGAGGTGGGAACAGCTTTGTTAGGTAAGCATTTTCTGGCATCTACTTGGGACTCATTTGCATATTGGTAGCTTCAACCTCACACAAATCATATTGATCCGGTATCCCATTTTTATGTTCACACTCTGGAAACATGTACTAGTACTGCCACCTATATCTGCAATACTTAGTGTAATTGCTGGTTTATATGTCTGTCTCCTCCTTGAGGTTCCTTAAGGACAGAGAATGTTCTCTGCCTTCTGAGTTCCTAGCACAAATTCTGGCACATAGAAGGAACATAATAATTTTTTTTAAATTTGTGAACTTGCTTAAAATTGAATTTCATATTCTTGGAATGAGGGATAACATTTTTCTCGTCTTAAACAAGTATGATAAAAATACCCCACATATCTCTGAGAACCATCTTGTAATTGCAGCCTTCTCATGCCTGAGAAAGGTAAACACTACACACAAGAGTATCATGGAGTGGCCACACTGTGTCTTCTCTGCTTCAGAGATAGGTAAATCAAGGCACGGGAAAGTCAGGTGTCTTTGTATTCAACCTCAGATTATTAAGCACCTCAAAGAAACTGAAATGGAGAATCTGTGTCAACTCTTTCTTAGAATGGCAGTTCTGATCTCAATTTCCTTCAACTGCATAATAGAATACACAACTCAGTATCTATTTACACATCACTGCTTTTTCTTTTTGCATTAAGACATCATTTTAGAATAGGTTTTCTGACTTCCTCCGTGTCTCTGACTGCATTAACTACCAAAAGCGTGGCTGAGCCACACTTCGCTGACATCATTGTGCTCCCACCTCAAATCATTTTCATCCTATTGTGAAGCAAAAGCCTTAAAAATGCTCTTTAGTTTTTTTTATTTTTATTTTTAAAGGACATTTACATCCAGCCATTTTATGAGTGCAGTCAAGGCAATTTCATGTTATTTTCCAAGACTTTTACACACTTGGAGAGCCTGGCAAAATGCATTCGAGATGTTTGAGCAAGAGGTCCCATCAGTTATTCACCTGCATGTTTTAAATTGGGTGCCTGCCCTGACCGGCTGAACACTCCATTCATCGAATTGCCTGGAACAGCTCCATGGCCTTCAGGAGCCTCATGCACATCTCACACTGTTGCAAAATTGCCTTCAGACAGGATTCTGATTTCCGTCAGAGAATTTTAAATTCCAGCTAATGGAATGCTTTGAAGGCATGTGCCACAGACTTCTGCCCAGTGCAAGTCCTGTGTGTGAGCAAATCTAGCAGGGACTCCAGAGCCTGGACAGCAGAAAGCTGCACTTCCTCAAGAGGACGCAGGATCCTCTCACTTTCCCAGTTATCCTACAGCTGACTAGTCAGCTGAGGGATTCACCTGGTGTCTGTATCTCCCCACTAGCTTCTTACTGTGGGAAGAGAAAGAATAGGATCCTGCTGGGAGCCAGGAGTCCCTGGGTTTAATTAATGGCCTTTTGGCTTTCTTCCCTTCCCCTCTCCACCGTGTGCACTGGTGGACACTGGTCCCCATCCCTGAGGTTCAGTCCTGCCCTGGATTCCAGGTCTACGCCAAGCCGAGAAGGTTTTGGATGAGAAGAGCTGAGTAATTTGCTTCGTCAACAATTTTTGAAACAATGCTTGAGATAACCTTTGGAATCTGGGTTCTTCAACTACATGGTTTCTGTCTTACTTTTCTCTTGCAGGAGGGTCAGTGCTTTCATTCCCAGCCAGCTATTCCTTGTTCTTCATGTCCTCTACCACCTAGTCCCAAATATACAATGAGAACTCCTGGATCTCTTAGTTTCTAGGTGTCCAGTTCTACTTGCCCTTAAATTAATGACTTCCATCCAGGGCACAGTGGTTTTGTTTGATTGTATCAATGGATTAGACAGGCCCAAATCTAATTAAAAGCTTTGCCCCTGTCTAGTTGGAGGGCCTTAAGAAAGGCACTTGACATCTCTGAGACCCAATTTTCTCATCTGCAGAACAGTTTTACTAAGATGTCCTAAAGATTAAATTATATAATATATAAAGAGTCTAGCAAAGAGTAAGCCTGTAAATGATGGCTATTATTATTATTTTTACTAGTATTTGACTATCCATTAGTCCATGGATAAATGAGTCTATCTTTGGCTCAACTCTCACATTCAGATATATTCTATGCTTTCACCTGAAGTTGGGGATCCTCCATGGATTACTGGTCCTACCTCAATTATTTTTCCTGCTTGTTCTCTGCCTTATTTGTCCTTCTGCTTCCTGAGCCCCTAATTTATTCATGTGAAAAAGCAAAATTGCACAATGTAAATTCTATGAGAACAGCTTCACTCTAAGGTAAATTATAATGTCTTGTCTTATTCATGAAATGACTGAATGTTGATGGTCATGTATATCATCTACTAAAATGATAGAATGAATCCTTTAGACACTCTAGAAATAGTTTGTTCTATTTTTCTCTACTTGACTGATGATCTGTTGGGATCAGAACAGATATTCACAATATTAAAACTATAGTAAATGGTTTTGTGGTTGTAACCAATGACAAATAATTTTTTCTCTCTGAATCTGACATCCTCCACATCTACTCTCTGGGATGGAAATGTCTTTAGTGATACTGCCAAAAGAAGCATCAGAGAGAGATTAGATAGATATGACCTTTCCATGAATTTTAAGAGGAAGACTCTGATATGGTTTGACTTTGTGTCCCCACTGAAATCTCATCTTGCATTGTAATCCTCAGGTGCCAAGGGAAGAACCTGGTGGGAGGTGATTGGATCTTGGGGGTGGTTCCCCCATGCTATTCTCATGATAGTTGTCACAAGAGCTGATGGTTTTAAAGTGTGGTACTTCCTGATGCTCGCTCTCGCTCTCTTGCTTTCTGTCTCTCTCTCTCTCTCTCTCTTGCAGTCTCTCTCTCTCTCTCTGTTGCCTGCCGCATGTAAGATGTGCCTTGCTTCCCCTTCACCTTCTACCATGATTGTAAGTTTCCTGAGGCCTCCCCAGCCATGCAGAACTATGAGTCAATTAAACCTCCTTTCTTTATAAATACTCAGTCTCTGGTGGTATTCTTCATAGCAGTGTGAAAACGGACTAATACAGAGAATTGGTACCAAGGTAGTGTGGTACTGCTATAAAGATAACTTGAGAATGTGGAAGCAACTTTGGAACTGGATAACAGGCAGAGGTTGGAACAGTTTGGAAGGCTCAGATGAAGACAAGAGGATAAATGAAAGTTTGGAACTTCCTAGAGACTTGTTGAATTGTTTTGACCAAAATGCTAATAGTGATATAGACAATGAAGTCCAGGCTGAGATGGTCTCAGATGTAAATGAGGAACCTATTGGGAGCTGGAGTAAAGGTCACTCTTACTATGCTTTAGCAAAGAGACTGGCAGCATTTTTCACCTGCTCCGGAGATCTGTGGAACTTTGAACTTAAGAGAGATGATTTAGGGTATCTGGCAGAAGAAATTTCTAAGCAGCAAAGCATTCAAGAGGTAATCTGGTTGATTCTGAAAGCGTTCAGTTACATGCGCTCACAAAGAGATGGTTTGAAATTGGAACTTATATTTAAAAGGGAAGCAGAGCATAAAGATTTGGAAAATGTACAGCCTGACTATGTGGTAGAAATTTTTCTGGGAAGAAATTCAAGCCAGCTGCAGAAATTTGCATAAGTAACAAGGAGCCAAATGTTAATCACCAAGACAATGGGGGAAATGTCTCCAGGGCCTTTCAGAGATCTTCAAAGTAGCCCCTCCCATCACAGGCCCAAAGGCCTAAGAGGGAAAATGTCCTCAGGGCCCTGGGCCCTGCTGCTCTGTGCAGCCTTGGGACATGGTGTCCTGCATCCCAGCCACTCCAGCTCCAGCTGTGGCTAAGAGGGGCCAAGGTACAGCTCAGACCATTGCTTCAGAGAATGCAAGCCCCAAAACCTTGGCAGCTTCCACATGATGTTTGGCCTGTGAGTATTCAGAATACAAGAGTTGAGCTTTCAGAACCTCCATCTGGATTTCAGAGAATGTGTGGAAAAGCCTGGATGTCCAGGCAGAAGTCTGCAAGAGGGGTGGAGCCCTTATTGAGAACCTCTGTTAGGCAGTGCAGAAGGGAAATGTGGGGTTGGAGTGCCCATACAGAGTCTCCACTGAGGTACTGCCTTGTGGAGCTGTGAGAAAAGGGCTACCATCCTCCAGACCCCAGAAAGGTAGATCCACCAACAGCTTGCACCTTGCACCTGAAAAAGCCACAGACATTCATTGCCATCCCATGAAAGCAGCTGGAGGGGCTGTACCCTGCTAAGCCACAGGGGTGGAGCTGCCCAAGGCCATGGGAACCCACGCCTTGCATCAGCATGCCCTGGGTGTGAGACATGGAGTCAAAGGAGATCATTTTGGAGCTTTAAGATTTAATGACTGCCCGGCTGGGTTTTAGATTTTCATGTGGCCTGTGGGCCCTTTGTTTTGGCCAATTTCTCCTATTTGGATGGGAATACTTACCCAATGCCTGTATTGCTACTGTATCTTTTTTTTTTCTTTTGGAGATGGAGTCTCCCTCTGTCACCCAGGCTGGAGTGCACTGGTGCGATCTCGGTTCACTGCAACCTCTAACTCCCACATTCAAGCAGTTCTCCTGCCTCAGCCTCCTAAGTAGCTGGGACTATAAGCGCCAGCCACCACACCCAGCTAATTTTTGTATCTTTAGTAGAGATGGGGTTTCACCATGTTGGGTAGGCTAGTCTTGAACTCCTGACCTCAGGTGATCCACCTGCCTTAGCCTCCCAAAGTGCTGGGATTACAGGTGTGAGCCACTGCACCTGGCCCCCTATTGTATCTTGGAAGTAACTAACTTGCTTTTTATTTTACAGACTCATAGGTAGAAGGAACTTGCCTTGTCTTAGATGAGACTCTGGACTTGGACTTTCAGGTTGATACTGGAATGAGTTAAGACTTTAAGACTGTTGGGAAGGAATGGTTGGTTTTGAAACTTGAAAGGGACATGAAATTTTGGAGGGGCCAGGGGTGAAATAATATGGTTTGTCTCTGTGTCCCCACCAAAATCTCATTTCAAATTGTAATCCTCAGGTGTCAAGGGAGGAACCTGGTGGGAAGTGATTGGATCATGGAGGTGGTTTCCCCCATGCTGTTCTCACGATAGTGAGTGAGTTCTCATGAGAGCTGATGGTTTTAAAGTGTGGCACTTCCTGGTTTGTTCTCTCTCTCTCTCTCTCTCTCTCTGTCTCACCTGCTGCTATGTAAGATGTGCCTTGTCTTCCACCATAATTGTGAATTTCCTGAGGCCCCCCCCAGCCATGCAGAACTGTGAGTCAATTAAACCTCCTTTCTTTATAAATTACCCAGTCTCTGGTGGTATTCTTTATATCAGTGTGAAAACAGACTAATACAGACTCCTTCCCTGGACACTAGAACCATGATGGCATTAGGGATGGAGTTATTAATGCATAATAGCAGAAAGCTCTTTACCTCAACATTATAAAGATAATAAAGGTATAGTTAACAATGATTGTACACACATTGTAGATTCCATTACAGTATTAAATTGAGCAATAGTGTTTGCAGCAAACTATGGGCATTTTTCTTTAATTTCCCCTCCCATTAAATTATTCTTTAATTTCTCCTCCCATTAAAGGAGAGGGTGGTCTCTTTTCAGGTAAGGATTGCTCATCTCTTTCTTCTTCATGCCTCATGCCGTGCATGCCCCATGCAGGTGTAAGCTAGATGGCATTCTGTATGTCAGGACCATTTTTCATTACTGCAAAATACTCTAAGTTTTAAAGAAAAGAATTTCTATCCTATGCATTGCTATAAGGCTTTTTATTCCAACATATGGTATTAAATAGGAGTTATGTGCTCAATTGTGAATTTATATGAAAAGGAGGTTAGGATACAACAGGCATAGAGGAAACATCATGTGAAGACACAGGGAGAAAACGCTTATCTGCAAATCAAGAGGAAAGATCCCAGAAGAAACTAACCCTGCTGATAGATACCTTGATCTCCGACACCTGTCTGTGGTACTTGGTGATGGCGCCCTAGCAAACTAATATAATTGTGATGAAACACAGAGGCCCAAGAGTGGCCTTTGTGTTTCATTTCAGTGCTCTATGTTCTGGCCAATTGTCTGTCACCTTCCTTTGTGCGTGAATGAGTCCCCTGTGGGCAAAAGCAGAGGCCACCCGTGGGGGCATACCTAGATGGGCGGCAGGCAGACAACCACTATCTGTCATCTACCCAACCACCACTTATGTCCTTTTCCCTCCATATCCCTCCTCTTTCACCATCCCTCCCCTCCTACTCACCTTCTTCAGGTAGCAGGAGTGGGAGGTAGGAAAAAGCAACAGACTTATTAATGTTAAAGATCCAAGCTGCAAACCTTTGCCTCTGCTTAGCTTTTTGGTTTCAGACTCTTTCTCTAGGCAAAATTTTCTCAAAATTGTCTGCTACAGGAATTCAGAGAAACATTTAAAACTCTAAAAGTAGACCGATACCACCACCTTCCCCATCCTCCACCCAACCAGGCTGTGACAGTAGGTAAAATCTGTATACCGACACCAATTCCCTTGATGGCATTTGGATCCATTTCCAATTGAGAAGCAGTCATCTATCCTTTTTCATTAGCTTCGCCTTCACTGGTGAGAAGTTAGTGGGAAGTAAAGACTCTGGAGGCCTGGAGTTGTTGGGTTTTAAAATTTTATGCCTGGAGGGTAAGTCCACTCTAGTAAATGCGAAGTTATTTTTAAACTTAAAGCCATGGAATACAACTACATTATAGTAACCAGCTATTTTGCAGTATAACCTACATTCATTCGTGTATTGTTTGTATGAATGCTCTGTTTCCAGCATAATGGCTTTTAAAAATTAAAAATATAAATTAGCTATTATTAGAGAAACAGCACAATAGTAAAACTCCCATAAATTGGCATTAGAAAATATTAATAATAGACTCTAGAGGGGACAGACAGTCTCTAAAGAATAAACAAATCATTGAGTAGAGAACACAAATCCCATCCAACAAGTTAGTGCTCTATGCTGATCTTCAAACAATGGGTTCCTGGGTCTTAGCAAAAGCAACAAAAACAACTCACCACTAACCGAGTGCTTACTGAATCTCATATGCTTTATATGTATTACTTTATTTTTTTCTTCCAAATGTCACTTTTGAAGAAGATACCTTTAATATTTCCACTTTACAGATGATGAAATTTTAAAATGTTATATAAATTGCCCAGCTAGTAAATGGTAGAGCAGAGATTCAAACCCAGCCTTAATATATATACTATTATTTTGATCCCCAGAGCACTCAATATAGTGTTGGGTACTTTTAAAAGAATTAAGAAAATGTTGAGCCATATGGGGGATGATTCAGCCATATTGTAGGGACAGAAAACAGTAAAAGTGACCCAAATACCCTATCTTTAAAATTTTTCTATGTTTTAACCATTTATTTTCCACATTATTCTTTTGTGCAATGTTTGCTGAGCATCTACTATCTTCCAGGTACTGTGTCGGGTGGAAAACAGGAATAAATAATATACAAACCTTTTTATTAAGTAATTCAGAGTTCAATGAAAGACTTCAAAGGAAAACAGATCATTTTTAAGTGATCGAACTATGTGACAGGTGGAGTGGCATTAGCAGATCACAGAGGGGATGGTCAGGACTGGCTGCTGGCAGGAGGGGACTTCTGAGCAGGTGAGAGGCAGGGGTGTGCGAGGAAGACAGGTAAGACCTTAACAGGCAAGGGTACAGTGTGAGCACTGGCAGGAAAAAGAGTTGCTGGAAATTTCCAGCAGTTCATTGTTGCTGAAGCAGAACGTGTGATGCCGGGTGGGTCCCTGATCGTGGAGTGGAGGAGGGATGCAAAGCATGGAGACCCTTTTAAGGCACCAGACGAGGGAGAGAGATTGAACAAATAGGAGAGGTGGGTGGGTGAGGGAGAGAAGAGCCACTGAGATAATCACAACTCAAACAAAACTAAAACAAATGTAGTGCATGTCCTTGAGTTCTCTTGCTTTCTCCCATTTTCCATGAAAACGTGCAAACTAGCACCTTAACACTTTTTGTAATTTCATGACAAATGCTATCATATTTCATAGTCAGCACATGGCACTAAGTATACATAAAATGAACATTTTGCACACTGTCACTTTTTTTTTTTTCTCTTGAGACAGTCTTACTCTGTTGCCCACGCTGCAGTGCAGTGGCGCCATCGTGTCTCTCTGCATCCTGGGCTCCAGCGATCCTTCTGCCTCAGCTTCCCGAGTAGCTGGGACCACAGGCGCCTACCTCCTACTTATTTTAAAAGAGTTCAGTCCAGGTTCTACTGTTCCCAAGGGACTTTTCTCCATACTAGGAACTCTAAAATCTGACAATGGTCTGGATCCGTGAGATAGGAAAGGCATCTTATAGGTACCGGGTCCTGTCTTCTGCCAGGGTCTACTGTGCTATAGTCTCAGAGGGATTTCATTAGGGGATCCCAGTAAGGTTGTAAAATGAATAAGGTCTTGGTGGCACCATCTCTGTGTAGTGAGGAAAACTTATGTAAAACTGGAATGGGTGAAGGGGTGAAACTAGGAAGGTGTCATAGCTGTTAGAGGAGGGGGAGCAGGATTGGGTGGGTAAAGCCTTCAGCCCGTTGACATCTATGAAAGAGGAAGAAAGCAGGAGAGCCTTCAGTTGCAAAGGACGGCTGACCAGGGCTTGGCTTGCTCAGTGAGCAGCTTCAGAGCAAAGATTGCCTGATGAAGCAGTTCAGCATTGGGCCAAAACAGCCAGGCCCTACAGTACCCTTCTCATCTGGTTTGGCTCTGTCCCCACCCAAAATCTCATCTTGAATTGTAATCCCCATAATCCCCACATGTCAAGGGAGAGACCAGGTGGATGTAATTGAATCATGGGGGTGTTTTCTCCCATGCTGTTCTCGTGGTAGTGAGTTCTCACGAGAGCTGATGATTTTGTAAGTGTTTGGTAGTTTCTCCTGTGTTCATTTCTCCTTCCTGCCACCTTGGGAAGAAGGTGGCTTGCTTCTCCTTCACCTTCTGCCATGATTGTAAGTTTCCTCAGGCCTCCCCAGCCATGCTGAACTGTGAGTCAATTAAACCTCTTACCTTTGTAAATTACCCAGTCTTGGGTATTTCCTTATAGCAATGTGAGAACAGACTAGTATATCTTCCTTGCTCGGTCATTGGCTGGGGGTTACCCAGGAAGAATGTGACCCAGAGTGAATGCCATGCAGATGCTGATGGCGCTACAGTTGAAGGCTGTCAGTTACCTGTGCTCCCTGCAGCTGGACAGCAGGTTCTCAGAGGAATACCCTAAAGGTGGTGTATTTTGTGGCTGCCACACCATCCTTGTTAAAGAAATAACTCTTGTATATGATCTCCATTGTATTTCTTAGGTCTGTATGAAGCTGTGTAAACAGTCTTGCTCTTTTCAATAGCTGAGGTGCTTTTTAAATAAAATTCATAGGTTCTTGGATATGATTCAATCCAGTATATTCTGTGAACTGGCTTTGCAGCTTCATCTGAATAATCTCAATATTTACATATGAGTTATATGTATCTCTTGGAAGAAAATTTTAAAAGTAAAAGCCATTATCTATATGTGCTCAAAGGATATGAAAGAATTTTAACCTCAGAAAAGCACAATAAGTAAGTCAATATCTATTTTAATCTCAGGCAAGCATACTAAAGAAGTCAGTAGCTGCAAAAGCTCCTCAAAAAATTATTCTAAGTCAAATATAAATAATCTTATTTGCTCTTTTGGATTATGAATACATCATAGCTTTTTTATTAACATCCAATTCAAAGTTGGCCTATTGTCTGGTGGTATTAAAATGGATCACATGTGTAGCTCTTAATAATGCACATTGACATGGAACACTTGGCTTGATCCTCATAATTCTATGAGGTAGGTATTATCACCTATGTACAGATGAAGAAACACATCCTGAGAGATGTGAATTTTAATGCAATTTCTATGAATGACATCTTTTTTTCAAAATCCTATGAAACACAATCTGGTAATTTTTAAGACACTGTACCACTCTTTCCTTACACCATATACAAAAATCAACTCAAGATGGATGAAAGATTTGAATGTAAACCTTAAAACTATCAAAACCCTAGAAGAAAACAAGAAAGGCCATGGACATATGCCTTGGCAAAGACTTCATGATGAAGATGCCAAGAGAAATTGCAGCAAAAACAAAAATTGACAAATGGGATCTAATAAAACTAAAGAGCTTCTGCACAGTAAAAGAAACTATCAACAGAGTAAACACACAACCTACAGAATGGGGGAAAACACTTGCAAGCTATGCATCTGACAAAGGTCTAATATCCAGCACCTATAAGGAACTTAAATCAACAAGCAAAAACAAACAACCTCATTAAAAATGGGCAAAAAGTGTGAACAGACACTTCTCAAAAGAAGACGTGCATGTAGGCAACAAGCATATGAAAAAATGTTCACCATCACTAATCATTAGAGAAATGCAAATCAAGACCACAGTAAGATACCATCTCACACTAGTCAGAATAGTTATGATGAAAGAGTAAAAAAAAAAAAAAAAAAAAAAAAAAAAGATGCTGGTGAAGTTGTGGAGAAAAGAGAACACTTATACACTGCTGGTGGAAATGTAAACCAGTTTGGCCACTGTGGAAAGCAGTTTGGAGATTTTTCAAAGAATTTAAACAGAGCTATCATTCAACCCAGCAATCCCATTACTGGATATATACCCAAAGGAATATAAATTGTTCTACCATAAAAACACATATACACGTATGTTCATTGCAGCATTATTCACAATAGCAAAGACATGGAATCAACCTAAATGCCCACCCATGGTGGAATGGATAAAGAAAATGTGGTACATATATACCATGGAATACTATACAGCCATATAAAAAAATGAGATCACGTCCTCTGCAGCAACATGGATGGAGCTGGAGGCCAGTATCCTAAGTGAACTAATACAGAACAGAAAACCAAATACTGTATGTGCTCCCTATAAGTAGGAGCTAAACACTGAGCACACATGGACAAAAAGAAGGGAATAATAGGCACCAGGGCCTATTTGAGGGTGGAGGGTGGGAGGAGAGCGAGAACTGAGAAAATACCTATCAGGTACTATGCTTATTACCTGGGTGACAAAATAATCTGTACACCAAACCCCATGACATGCAATTTACCTATATAACAAACCTGCAAATGTACTCCTGCACCTAAAATAGAAGTTGGAAGGAAAAAAATACATTGCACAAATGGAAACAATAAAATCTACAATTTGAACATTTATTTGAATAGCTGGACGTGTCATCAGAACAACTCTTGATGCTTATTTAAGCTCCCAGAGTTACCTAAAGAGAACATGAGGTTTAAGAACCACTGATGAGGAATAAAAGCCCTACTTTGAAGAGTATAAATATATAAGCATTATATACATATATAAACACACATTTTAAAGAATTATAAAATGAACACTTGTATACTTAACACCAAGAAATTGAATATTAACATTGAAGCACCCAGGGCTTCTCCTGTATTGCATTCTTTCCTAGAAGTGATCACCAGCCTATGTTTTGAATTAATTATGCCTACGCTTTCGCTGTTTTGCCACACTATATCTTCTATAATATTGTCTTGTTTGCTTTTAGGCCCTATGTAAATGGCATATATATTGACATGCACACACATCCCCTTTGATGACTTAGTTTTTTATCTTTAACAGTCTATTTGACATTGGTTCTCACTGATGCTTGTGACTGTAGATCACATTCATTCCTTTACAATATTACGTTGTATGGAAATATTCATTTTATCCATTCTGTTGGTGGGCCTTTGAGTTGTTTTCAGCTTTTTTTTCTCAGGTACAAATAATGCTTCCATGAAGATTCTTGTAATTGGTTTCCTTGGTATATTTGTAACAACATTTCTTTAGGGTGAAACTATAAATTGCAGAGACTACATACTTTAAAACTTATTAGGAATTAACAACTTATTTTCTAAGGTGTCTGTACCAATTTACACTCCTACTATAATTTCATGAGAGTTCTTGTGGCACCCTGTCCTCACCAATTCTTATCTGACATGTAAATGTTACCATGTGGTTTTAATCTGTATTTCTCTATTTTCTTCTAAGACTTTAAATATTTTACTTTCATTTAAGTCCTTGACCCATTTAAATTTGACTTTTGTGCATGAAGTTATATATATACCTGTCCTTTTGAAAATGTCCTTATATTTCTCTTATTAAGAATTTTCAAAGGTTTTTCTTTCCCCTTATCTCAATCCCCATCCTTTATGAAGAGACTCAATGAATCAAAGAATATGAACCCATACAGAGCTTCAGAGACATACACTTTCTAAAGAATATTGTGAGTTTTTCTGGACATAGAACAAATACAAATGAAAATAATAACAAATACTATTTTGGGCCTCACAAATTAGCAAAATATATTCTTAATAAGGCTAATTAATCCCAATGAGAGTGTTGTAAAATGAGCATTGTTATACACACTAACTTTTGGTGGTGCATACAATCCAAAAGGTGCACACATAGCTTTGCAAAGGTAATTTGAGGCTAACTGCATTGAAGGCTTTAAGGGTGTCCACAATTTATTTAAGGAAATTTAACTTTATGAAATCTATCCTGTGGAAATAACTTTAAAATCACAAAGTATGCACTAAGATGTTCATTGCAGTGTCTGTATGTATATCTTAACCACTTTTGAGCTATTGCCATTTTTGCTGCTATGTGTATGTATATATATAATTGTCCCCTTCTTTAAAATGTCCTGTTTTTTTCAAAACTAATTTTTCTATGAGTTTGTCCTTCATGTATAATAGGAACATGTAATGTATAAAAATATAAACATAATTTTATTATTAAAGTACTCAGATTTTTGGTGTCTACCAGCAGCAAAGCAACACAGATACTGTTGAAGCTGTGCATTTGCTTCTGACAACTGGATGAAGCAGATGAAGGAATTGTTGCAGCTTGTGTGCACCTCACTTCTAGCCATAGTTTCAGATTAGTGTGCAAACATAGGATCCTAGAAACTATGGAAAAAGCTTCATTGAATTAAGTGAAAATCTTCTCATGTTTCAAAAGAATAAAAAATAAAATTTATACAGGCAAGAATTCAGTAGAACAATTTGCATAAGAACAAGCTGCAGCCCAGTACTCCTATTTGTTGACGTCAAATAAAGGTGAGACTATTTGGAATTCTGAAATGAGCTAACCTCACTCTGTAACTTGATATTACTAAAATGGTTATTAGTGAGCTGTAGGGGGTAGTGCAGAAGAAACTAATGTTTGTTGAGTGCCTTTATGTGCCAGGTACTTCAAAACTTTGTTTCACTAATCCTCATAATGACCCTGCCAAGTAGGTATTGTGAGTTCTGCTTTACAGGTGAAGAAAGCTCATGGAGTTAAGTAACATGACCAACCATAGCATGGTGCCTGACATACAGTAAGTGTTTAATGAATATCTTTTGAATACATGGTGGTACCTAACTAATGGAAGAAGCAGTATTCAAACTTAGATACATCTCATTACACAGCTCACACTATTTCCATCATAGTATATTGCCTTCTGTGTAAGACTATACAGAATCATTTTTAAATGGCTAAGAAAGAGCACTGCCAGTGTAAACATGGCTAGTAAGCCCAGCAACCTATGATTTCTCCCTTTATATGAGAACAATTTCAATTTCAAAATGTATGCATTGTGAAGGATGAGAAAAGACAGAAAACAGGATCTTCAAGGGCTTTACAGTTACTTAACACAGATAGTACATGAAAATAACATAAATATATATGAAAACATCATATGTGTATGGAACATTTTATTAGTACAGCTCATCCATTTTTTGTTGAGTTCTACTGACTTTTTAAAATTTATTTTACTTTAAGTTCTGGGATACATGTGCAGAACATGCAGGTTTGTTACATAGGTATACATGTGCCATGGTGGTTTGCTGCATCTATCGACCTGTCATTTAAGGTTTAAGTCCTGCATGCATTAGGTATTTGTCCTAATGCTCTCCCTCCCCTTGCCCCCCACCCCCACCCCCCACCAATAGGCCCTGGTGTGTGATGTTCCCCTCTCTGTGTCCATGAGTTCTCATTGTTCAACTCCCACTTATGAGTGAGAACATATGGTGTTTGGTTTTCTGTTCTTGTGTTAGTTTGCTGAGAACGATGGCTTCTAGCTTCACCCGCGTCCCTGCAAAGGTCATGAACTCATCCTTTTTTATGGCTGCATAGTATTCCATGGTGTGTATGTGACATATTTTCTTTATCCAGTCTATCATTGATGGGTATTTGGGTTAGTTACAAGTCTTTGCTACTGTAACATCATCTGAAATGTGTTACTTTAATTTTATGAATGTTAGGTGTTATGTCTCTTTTCCTTTTTTGCCCCACACATCACTGAAACAGATTATATGACAATGCTAAAATAAGTAAAATGTGCAGCATGCTTTCTTAGATGCTTTGTCTCCTGTACCAAAATAATTTACAAATACAAAAGTTGGAAATAATTTTATTAGTTTTTTAATGCATAAATCCAAACATATATTTGTACTGAATATTTTATTAGCTAATACAGTACCATTTTAAAAATTCTACCAACTTATTTAAAATATTTCCTGTAAAAATATCATCCAAAATATACTTTGTTAATTTTTATGAATGTTAGGTGTTATGTCTCTTTTCTTTGACGCTCTCCTTTTTTATCCTGTGCTTACACCAAAAACAAATTATTTGAAAATGCTAAAATAAAATGTGGCATGTTTTCTTAGCTGTTTTGTATTGCTATAAAATATTTTACAACTATGAAAGTTGAAAAATAACTTTATTGGTTTTGCTGCATATAGCTGCCTGTCTACTATAAGAGAACTAATCTATAAAATTAAGGTATTTTGTTATTTCAAGTGTAGAGGGGCAAGAATGTAAGGGAATTATAAAAACCCCAAGATGACTCATTTAAAGTAGATGCACATTAAAATACTATAGATCTGGCATATTTCATATTTATAAAGCAGACAAAAAGAATGTTTATCTTTGCATTTGGCAAGAGTATCTTCAAGATAACTACCACTTTTCAAAGCACTATTGTTGGGTAGGTTTTATTAGGGGAGAGGACTTAGAAAACATGACTTTCCTCATCCAAAACCAAAAATAAATGAGGGCTTAAAAATAGATTATTTAAGAAGATAATGGCCAGAAATAGACTATGACCAACAAGCTTTGGGGCCATCAAGATGAAAAGACCTTTGCTATATTCAAGATCTAGGATCTGAAAATCTCACTTCATAAATTTAACTGGATTTTCTTTTCTGATTATGTTTAACCCCAAAATTTGGTTGTATACCATAGCAGTTTCTATTTTACCTGGAAGTTAAAAGAAAAACCACTGGAATCTAAAGAGAGATGAATAACCTCTTGAGCTTAGATGGAGAACTAACCAGTGGCAAATATGTATCTAGTGGGGTAAATACATCTCAAGAGATTCAAAACATTACAAAACAAGGTGTTTTTAAAAACACTTCAACTTGAAATTATAAAAAAAAGCATTAAAACGTATTAGAGATCTTTCTTAAGGGCTGGTAAAATAAAAACACCCTAAAAGACACACTGTTACAATTTCCTCAGAGAGGTAAAGAGGTTGTAACCAGTATCAGCATTTAAGGATGTCATTTCAGAGCTTGCATTCTTCTCCTTCCTCAGCTATTATAATTCATCTTTATTATCTTAAAAAGAAGTCTGCATTAGGAAAGGGTGAGAGATAATGAAGTAACAGAAAAATAATCTCAAACACTTTACTATTTAAATAATAAACCTGGGTTATAGCTTATGAAACAGTGCAGTTCACCAAAAGTTCATTTCAATTCCTAATACATCTCTACCTCATAGTCTCGCTATTCTTAAACCACAAATTAATTCGTTAGAAGAAGAAACCTAACCATTTTGGTGCAAAAAGTCATCTCCCGTTCCAAAGATGAGAGGTGAGAGAAATGACGATAATTTTCACAAAGTTTTACTAAATGTAACCTAGAAAAAAATGAAGAATCATATTACAATAAGAACAAGTTTCAAAACTAACAGTAAAATAAACAATAAGAAAGCCATAAAAAAGAAAACAATTGTTATAATATTAATTTTATAATTTGCTTACTAACTTGTATGTTTTTCAGCATTTATAATCCAGTACGGCACACACCTGAAATTCCTTAACTCAGTGGTTTTTAAGCTTAATTGTGGCCGGGTACATTGGCTCATGCCTGTAATCCCAGCACTTTGGGAGCCCGAGGCGGGCAGATCACTTGAGGTGAGGAGTTCGAGACCAGCCTTGCCAACATGGTGAAACCCCGTCTCTACTAAAAACACAAAAATTAGCCAGCCATGGTAGTGCATGTCTGAATCCTGGCTGCTAGGGAGGCTGAGGCAGGAGAATTTCTTGAACCCAGGAGGTGGAGGTTGCAGTGAGCAGAGATCATGTCTCAAAAACAAAACAAAACAAAACAAAACAAAACAAAACAAAACAAAACAAAACAAAAACCTTAATTGTATATCTAAAATTCTTGTGGCTTTTTTCACCCTTCCTTCCATCCCAGGCCTCTAAATCGGAACAGAGGCAGGTTAGTGTTTGTTTTTTAAGTTTCAAGTGATTCTAATGTACCAGCCTTGGGAAATACCTCCATAACTGTTGAAAAGGGTTCAGAATATAATTTTAAATAAAATTACTTTAGATCAAAGCAGACTTACAATAAGTATAATATCACATAAAGGATCAACTTTCAAGTGCCAAAGAATACAGGTGTGTACTTGAAGACCTTTTAGTAGTGAAACTCAACAGCTATAGGCAGTGAAGAAAAGAGCATATGTGATAAACAAAATTAGCTATGGCCAACAATTATGCTATAGCTAACTTATGTAGTCAGTACTTTCCAGTGAAGTTGAAAATAAAGCAAAGTTCCATATATTAACCCTGTTTTCCACTAACCCTTCTTTACATGTAGGCCATATGCCAGGGTACCAAATACTGCAGGAATATTCCCTACCATTGCAGCCTCAGTTCTAACATCAAAATCTCCCTGCAGACTAAATGTCTAGAGCAGCACTGTGTCAATAGAACATAGGGGCAGATCTCATACCTCCCAAGGGTAGAAATCACTGAGCACAGGTAAAAATAAAATATTCCAGAAGGAAATATTATTTTACAAATTTTTATAAACACTTTTGTAAAATAATGTACACAGGCTTGCACACTGAAAGACTCAGAGCCATTTAACCATATAACCACTGCAGAATCTTTAACTTCTTTTTTAACTGATTTCCAATTGGCAGGTGTTGCTAAAACTTTATCACCAAAGTTATTTCACTGGCTGAATGTGGTGGCTCATGCCTGTAATCCCAACACTTTGGGAGGCCGAGGCAGGTGGATCATTTGAGGCCAGGAGTTTGACACCAGCCTGGCCAACATGGTGAAACCTTGTCTCCACCAAAAATACAACAAATTGGCTGGGTGTGGTGGTGCACACCTGTAATCCCAGCTACTTGGAAGGCTGAGGCGCGAGGATCACTTGTGCCTGGGAGGCAGAGGTTGCAGTGAGTCAAGATCACGCCACTACACTCCAGCCTGGGAGACAGAGCAAGACTCTGTCTCAAAAAAAAAAAAAAAAAAAAGTTATTTCACTAGCAACATATAATTACCATAAAATAAAGGAAGGTTTTAAATGAACTACACATGCAAAATACACTAGAAAAGCTAGATATTTAAAGAAACGTGTGGTGAATTATTTAGTAAAGCAAAAATATTTTAATTCGTAAGTTACTATTCCCCTAATGCATCTATTTTGTAAATGCTGTTTCACATATGAGGTTTGTAAAAAAGCAAAATACATGTATAAATTGGTGCACATAAAGATGTTCTACAAATATAGCCAGAAGTTATTGTTTTACTGTATGCAAAGAGAGATGGCAATTTTTAATTCAAATGTTTTTAAATATTTCAAACTGAAACTAAATCTTACCAATGGAGATAAGCCACAAGGACTGCTGGAATAAAGAAAAAAAGGAAAGTTATTAATAGCTGCTTTATTATAAAATACCATTAAAACAAGTATTTCAAATGTAGTATTTTACATGTCTAGAAAGATAGCACACAAAGCAAGATGGCCAGCTAATCCTGTCTCTATGAGCATAGGAAAAAATCCAGGACACAAAGCAAATTCTGAACAGAGCTTACCTCTCTGCAGCAGGGCTTGATAAGCAAAGGGAGAAACTTGAGAGGGTTTTTTTACTTCAGGTAATTGGTAAGAGTGATGGAATTATGGAAGATTGCGACCTTTTTTGTTTTTTTTTTTTCAGTATTATTTTCTATTCCTTTATATGAAATTTTTAAAAGAAGTAAGTATATACAGTATGCTTCAGCTAGTTCTAACCAAGAGGAGCCACTCTAGATCAGTTTCTCTAGCATTCATCAGAAGATGATTAAATGCAGGAAATCACTTCCTCAGCAGCACATCTAAAAGCCCCAATGTGCAGCTCAACCCTTGATGAATTGCAAGCTCTTTACAAGAGCCGAGACCTAGAAGCTACTAGATGGCCTAGGAGACTAGTCTGGAGTCACCTGTGCCAACGCCCCATGTATACATAAGACTTCACCTGGGAGCTGGGAGACACTGCTCTGGGTATGGAGCTTTTACAGGAGCTGCAAACGCAGCCTGTGCCCCTGTTTGGTTGGGGAATTGCTTGTTTTCAATTCCCCTGGAGAGAGAAGAGTGGGGAATAGAACAAGTTAAAACACCACAAACTTTGCTATTCTTATAGAGGTTCAGCAGCTTTTCTTGAATTAATGCCCTTTAGATTGTTGTAAACCTTTGGTTAATTTCCAAAGTTTTGAAGAAAATGATTTTGATAATTTTCCAAGTATTTTCATTGTCGTCATGGAGGAGTGCATTTCCTTGGCTATTCCAGAAGTCCTACCTCCCTTCTGAGATTTTATAATGGTATTTCTTATGGTTATCCCAAATATACTTGGCAAGTCATCTTACAAACCACCAATAATAGCCTCTTAAAAATTCAAAAATTACTTCACTTGGCTAACAAAATAAATGCAAATTAATTCAATAATTATTGAAGAAATTAAATTTTTAAAAATTAAAAAATTGCAATGTTGAAATTGTCAACCATGCTTACCCAGATCTTTTCCTATATTACTAACTGTCCTGGGCTTATCTTAAATACTTCTTGGAAGATTTACTTGTTTTATACCAGGATAGGCAAAGTATGGCCCATGGTGTATTTTTGGACTGTCTGCAAGCACGGTTGCTATAATTTTTAAAAGGTTGAAAACTTTAAATGGTTGTAAAGATGCTCATTAACTGTTTATTAGGCTTCATTAATTTTAAAATATACAGAGACTATCCTGTTCAACTATATTTGTATCCTATTTCTAATTCTCCTAACAATTATATACACTGGCAAAAACTCTTCAGATGATATATAAGGAAAAGGTCAAATATACTACCAAATTCATCCAGCTTTCCAAAGATGCTCAAAATCTTTCTGTGTCTCTCACTCCCTCCCTTAACCCACATACCACATCTGAAAAAAATGATATGTTGCAACGATGCCAGTATTCTAAATGCTTGAAGGGCTTATCACATGCCCTTTCCAAGCTGTGACAGAAGCATGTCCCCTGGACCCCGGCATCCTATCAGTCTCACCTCTGAAGGTGACCCAGCCTCATACTTCACTGAAACAAAGACCATTAGACGCCAGCACTCCCAACTTCTTTTATCTCCACTTTAACATTTCTCCATATAGTAATCCTCGCTTTTCTACTCCCTGCCATCTCAGAAAAGGAATTCTCTCTCCTCTTTTCCACAGTTAGCTTCTCAAATTTGTGCCTTTAATTCTACCCCTCCAAATATTCCAAGACTTGCTCCACTAATTATTTCCTCTCTTGGAATCTTAATCTGATCCTCTTCCCTTGATCCTTCCCCTCAGCCTTTAAAACTCCTAGACCTTAAAACACTCTCTGCGATCTGACAGCCCTTCAGACCAATATACTCCCTATCTCTCTCTCTCCCCTGGTTCAATGACAAGATTTTTGGCCAACTTCTTTCTATTCGGACCTTGCTTTTATTTCCTACTAGGCACCCACAAACCCTTGCTTGTTAAACTGATCTCCTTCAAGACTCAAGAAAAGCGCCATGCGGCTACCTCCTGGAGCTCTCCTGCCCTCTCCTTACCGAAGTCCAAAGTGGTTCTGCTGGGGAACCACCACGCCTGCAGTTCGTGCACCTCTTCCCGGAGCTGCGCCAGGGAATTACGGACCAACAGGAAGGGGCCGAGAAGAAGGGTCTTGGCCACCACCTTTAGCTCCAAGCCTTTTCGATTTTCCACATTTCGGATCCTCCGCCGGAAGGACCTCCCGCCGCCTAGGGCCGACTTTTCCACCTCCTCTACCTCCGGCTCCGGGGCGGAGGCGGGGGGGAAGGGGGAGGCCCGCACCGCCGCTTAGACTGGCTGGGGCGGGAAGACTGCAGCGGCTTCGGGCTTACTCCTTGTTTTTTCATAATCCCTGATAGAGCTGGGTCAATTTCAGGCACAGCCCAGCCGAGTCAGGCGAGGTCCAGAAAGGCCTGACTCGCCTGGCAGCCTCAACGGTCTTGTCCCCGCAGCCGTTGCGGACCTACCGGTCGTCATGGCGACTGTGAAATGTCGGGTGGGGCGCATGCGTTCGAAGCCATTCGCGCCGGCAGTCCCTGCGTGTTCCCCCACGTGCTCCCAAGCGCGCAGCACCCCCGCCTCCGCGCTTCCCCGAGCGTGCAGCTTCCGGTGAGAGCAGCCCCACGCACAGCCCCCCCACCCTCCCCAGCGCCTGCAAGCCTTTGGTGCGCGCAGTCCCCAAGCCTAGATGCGCAGTTCTCACCTTGCGCGCAGCCCCACGTACAGCCCCCGACACGCTCCCAGCCCCACTGGCGCAGAACCCATCACCGCTTGCCCTTCACGCGCTTCATTGGGAGTGCAGCCCCCACCCCGAGCGCGCAGCTCCACGCAGCCTCTCCACACTCTCCCCAGCGCCTGCAGCACCCCCAGTGCGCACAGCTCTGCCAGTAGCTTCCCCGCGCGCCGCCTCTGCACGGCTTCGGGCCATAACCTTGCTGACGACTGAGTCTGAAGAACTTACGGTGGTTTCATTCTTTTCTTCAGATTTAGTCTTAGCTCTGACATTTTAACCAAAAGGTTACACGTTAATTAACGAGGTATTAAAGGGGAAGATCTCAGCTGAAAGAAATGACTGTAGGAAGTATGTCAGGGAAGCCAACGGAACCGCCGGCCCGCCGGTGGTGCGCCCGGCATGAGGGACGTCTCTGCTCTCCTACGATCGCTGAGGTATCGGACAGTCAGTGCCCGTTACCAAAGCGGAGGGAACGGGCCGAGACTGCGGGCAACACGTGGCAGAGCCCGCGTGAGTCCGGTGGGTCTGATCCCAGAGCCTCAGGTTGACGCGACTTCCTTGGCACGGGACAGCGTTTACTGAATCTTAGAGCAAAATGCTTTTCCAATAAGGTTCCTCAGAAGTCATCAGCCCTAGGAGCGGTGTGCTCAAGCGCTTTCAGCACCAGCCAAGACCAACTAAGAGGGGAGCGCTTAGCTCCCAGTCACCGCGCAGCCCTACAAGAGGCCAAAGCGGCTGTCACAGATGCACTGGGGCCACTGACATTTTCCATGTCCTCTGTCACGGGCCACATGCTGGAGCCCACACCGCTTTACTTCCCATCTGTTTGATGATGGATCAAATTGAACTCCCATATCCTAACTGACCAGTCTAAAGCATGGCTCATTGTGGCCAGGTTAATTTTTCCTGATGCAACACAGCACAAAAATGTTCGTGGCCCACAAATCAAGTCCTAGGCTTGCTCACCAATGCCTTCAATATTTGCCCAATATACCTTTTCAACTTTAATTTCCCACTTCCTCGGGCACAAAATCTTCCATCTCAGTCATTTCAGGTGAAGTCCACAGCCTGAGACATCATAACCGCTGAATTCCTTTATTCATGTGGAAAAGCCATCCCTTGGCTTTTACATTCTTTTCTCCCTGCCCATCTGAATGCTGTCACCTTCCAAGCCCCAGCCCATTTCTCCAGCCCATATTAATTATGCTTTTTCTGAAGGTCTAAAGCACTTAACTGACAGTACTATTTATCTTGTCACTTAGTTAAATTCAGTAAGTGCTACTACTGCTCATTTTTTGTTTTGGGAGATTTTTTTCAAGGAGCATTTCTACATTCCTGGCATTGTGTTTGGTGCTCAAAATGTTTTCTCACTTAATTCTTGCAATAACTGTATGCAAATTTTAAAATCAAGCATCAGGATGTAGTTATTTGCCCAAGTTTTAACAGCTAATAAATTCTATCTGTCCAATACTGCATTTAAAATACAAAGTATTTACGGTGGTTGATAAGAATATATTCTTGAATGGCTAGGCAAACTCAAAATAAAGCACCTTATTTTAAAATATGACTGTTTTAATGTTTTTTGGAACAATAAGTGAAGTGGAGCGATTGTTTTTCTTTTTGGTCAGTTTGTTTTTTCTGGAGTTTCCAATTGCCTTTTGCATCACTTGGTGTCCTGGTGGGATACAAAATGCTCTTACCATGGTCTAGCCCTTGAAAGTACAAATCTGGTCATTTTTATCATTTAAAAAATTAATCTTTTTATAAGAATGTTCATTGTGCTATTATTTATATCGTTAAAAAATAGAAGTGGCCTCAGTATCAAACACTAAGTTATGAAACATTCATATAGTGAAGCATTACAGCCACTAAAGTCATTTTGCATGGATATTTAATGATATAGGAAAATAGTCATGATATAATGTTAAAGGAAAAAAGAAGCAGGATATATTTTATGATTCATATGTTTAGTAAACACATAAAATTAACTGTGTGCCATGTGCTGCTCTAAATCTTTTACACAGGGGACTCATATAGGAAGATTACCAATGTATGACCTTGAGCTAGTAATTTAGCCACTCTAGGATTAATTTCCTCATCTGAAAAATGAAGACAGTTATATTTGTCTTACTGATGGTATGATTGAATGAATTAATGCTTGTAAAGCATCAAAAACACAGCACATGCTTAAACAAATGTTCCTTTATTATGTTCTAGACCGGCCATCCTATAGTGCACTCGTGAGTATTTTTAGGTTGGTGCAAAAGTAATTGCTATTTTTGCCAATACTTCCAATTAATATTTTGCTCACTTGGTTTCTTTGTCATCAAGTGATATGTTAGTAATTATTAAACAGTAATACATGTTTTAGATTCATTAGTTAACTGAGAGATAGTTGCCTAAATCATTATGTATCTACTCCTACTAAGGAGAGGAGTAGATTTGTGTATAAGAGGGAAATCATGACACTTAGTTTTATGTGCAGTTGAATAGAATCATGGATGTTTTCATGTTTTTACAGCTTCTGTAACAGTGGTCACTTATTTTGACCTCATTATTTTGAATGGTTATTTGAGTCACATTTTAGCTGTATACTAACTAATGACAATAACTTAAAGCAGTTAGGTTGATAATTTAATCTATGATTAATTGACAATTAAAATAGCACATTATAATTAGATAAGATGCAATATATTCTTGCATTATCTTACCATCTTTGAAACAGAGATGCCTCATGATTTAGCTTTTATATATATATGTTTTTATTATACTTTAAGTTCTAGGGTACATGTGCACAACGTGCAGGTTTTTTACATATGTATACATGTGCCATGTTGGTGTGCTGCACCCATTAACTCATCATTTACATTAGGTATATCTCCTGATGCTATCCCTCCCCCCTTCCCCCACCCCATGACAGGCCCCAGTGTGTGATGTTCCCCTTCCTGTGTCCAAGTGTTCTCATTGTTCAATTCCCACCTGTGAGTGAGAACATGCGGTGTTTGATTTTTTGTCCTTGTGATAGTTTGCTGAGAATGCTGGTTTCCAGCTTCATCCATGTCCCTACAAAGGACATGAACTCATCCTTTTTTATGGCTGCAGAGTATTCCATGGTGTATATGTGCCACATTTTCTTAATCCAGTCTATCATTGTTGGACATTTGGGTTGGTTCCAAGTCTTTGCTATTGTGAATAGTGCTGCAATAAAGATACGTGTGCATGTGTCTTTATAGCAGCATGATTTATAATCCTTTGGGTATATACCCAGTAATGGGATGGCTGGGTCAAATGGTATTTCTAGTTCTAGATCCCTGAGGAATCGCCACACCGTCTTCCACAATGGTTGAACTAGTTTACAGTCCCACCAACAGTGTAAAAGTGTTCGTATTTCTCCACATCCTCTCCAGCACCTGTTGTTTCCTGACTTTTTAATGATCGCCATTCTAACTGGTGTGAGATGGTATCTCATTGTGGTTTTGATTTGCATTTCTCTGATGGCCAGGGATGATGAGCATTTTTTCATGCATATGATTTAGCTTTTTTTTTTTTTCTGAAGATAGGGTCTCACTGTCACACAGGCTAAAGTGTGATGGTGCTCACTGAAACCTTGAACTCCTGGGCTCAAGGGATCCTCCTGCCTCAGCCTCCTGAGTAGCAAGGACTACAGGTGCAGGCCACCACACACAGCTAATTTGTTTATTTTTGTAAAGATGGGGTATCACTATGTTGCCCAGGCTGGTCTAAAACTCCTAGCCTCAAGCATTCCTGCCGCCTCTGCCTCCCAAAGTATTGGGATTACAGGTATGAGCCACTGCACCTGGCTGCAAATTATCTGTCTTACATAGAGATCTCTAATCCGGTTATGGATATCTAAAACTTGCCTCAGTTTTTCCTTTGTCTTTTAGTAAAACAATTGGGAATTTTAAAAAATGCAATTAAACTATGTAACCAGCAGATGGCAATAATGATCTGTAAATCAAAATTTCAAAACAGTTACTTATTAAATTCATTCTTTAAAAAAATCACTGTCTTATAATAAATCCATTTACTAAATATGAAATGTAGGAAAATTCCAAATGTAACCCCACATAAAAATTACATTGCATATTTCATATGTCAAAATAATTAAGATATTCATCCTGGCAAAGATTTAGTTTTCCAAATAATAATGACTTTGTTTTAATTGATTCGAATAATTTATTAGATTTAAAGTTTTAACTTTGCACAAATACATAGATATAATTTAAGTGGATAGTTAAGTTCCATCTCTAGCCTCCAGGCTAGATAGAGGTAGTTTGGCGAAGACCATTTTGAAAACATTACAAACTTTTCCGGTTATAATTTGGTAATTTAAAATATGAATTTCACTTTAATTGAAACTTTCTGCATAAAAGATTGGTTTTTATTTGTGTTGTCTCATAATTTCTTATGCATTAAGATACTTTTCCCCCTTTGTACAGTGCAAGGAGTTGGAATTGGCACCAAAGTATTAGTCTCTACTTTATCAGCATTAGTTATTCCCAAAGATGGTGGCAAAATTCTTAGGATCTCATAGTTATCTTATTTAGTAATTTTATTTATTTTCATTATACCTTTCTAAGACTTTTTCTACAAATTCAAACATGAAATACATCCTTTGTTTAATTTTGTAGCTCCATTTTTGCCTTCGAAAAATAGGATAGCCATAGGTATGTTCTTCTTGGAGCTTACTTATTTTCTAGGTAATTTCAAATTGGTCTGCTTATAAATGTTAAAAGATCCTTTCAAATTCTTCTTCAGCAAGTTGCCTCCACTAAAAAAGTGTCTTTGGGCATGTGTATTTTATAAAACAACTGCTTCAGTCTAAAACCTTTCTTGGATTTACATATCTTGGATTGACTCATTTTTAAATAGCATATTTGCTGCTGTCGAATTACTTTACAGAGCCTCTTTAAATTCATATTGGATGCAGGTCTTCATCAAGGAGAAAGTGGAAAGACACCAACTTGCTGTGAAGCATACAGCAAGTTTAGATGTAAATGCATCTGTAAGTGATACTTTGCATAATGCTGTCTTTTGGACTATGGAAGAAAGGCATCTGTAATAACAAGTTGGAATTTCCAAGAGTTCCAATCTATTTTCTGTGTCCATGAGGGGGCTATCCACTCCCCACTCCTAACCCCCCCAAAAAACCCCAAAACCAAAAAACTAGAGCTCTGTAAGCCACCCATGCCCTGGTCATGTAGTGCTCCAGGCCTATGTCAGATATGACATACCTTATAAACAACTCTAGGCCTTTATCAGATAAGACATGCCTTATAAAGGCGTGTCTTATTCAAAGGGAGGGAGGTGATCCATAAATTAATTGGGAGATTCTTTCAGCTCCAAGTAGAGAGACTGCACAACTGCATAGTATATGCACATTCATTTGAACCAGATTGGTACTCAGTTATCACTGTTAAATGACTTAACCAACATATACACAACTAAACTTATATACTTGTACCACATCCCCAAATCTACAAAATCCATTTTTCCCTGGATTTGATGGTAATATACCATGTACAAACTCCATCATATTGAGATTATTTTTATTTACCACCAAAGTAACTAATATAAGAATTACTACATTCAATATTAATAAGCAAAAGCCTCTGCTATATTAGTCCATTTTCCCCATTTAGTAAAAAAAAAAGTGCAGCTTGCTGCCAGTGCTCATTTAATTTTACATAAACACTTTATTTGAGGCTGAAGCAAATCTGACTGATTTTCAACATGAAAATAAAATATAAAAACTGTTCTTAGAGTTATTTATAAACAGAATTTGTCTCTAATCCTAATGTAACAGAAATGTAGATGATGATGTTACAGTAGGATTAGAGATGAGTATTTTTGGGGCAAACAGGAAATGATTTAAAGAATGAGTTTCAGAATATTTATGGGCAGATTAAATGCAAAACATAGTAAAAGTGCCAATGATACATAATGAATCTGTGTGCTGTATTTTACATAATATAATATTTTAGGTTGATTTAAGATTGAACTTTGATTATAATATAGAGTTGAAGATATATCACTAGACTAGGCCCAGTATGCTTTGGCCAATTTACTTTGTTTCTCTAGTTCTGATTTCCTCAACTATAAAATACTTTGGATGACATGGCCTAGATAAGGTCTTTTAAACTTATTTGATTCTAGTTGGTATTTGTACAAATATTTAGGTAGATGCACCTGCTAAGTCATACAGTGGCCTGTACTAAGATCTCTTTTTACCACTTTTTTCCTTCCCTCCTCCTCTGCCTCCAGCTATGTGTTCAGACTCCACCCTGAGGGTCTTACTCTGCAATCTATCCCACAGTTTGTCCTCTAGTACCTACACTTGTCATTGCCCACCCAGAGGGCTGAGCTCATCTCTCTCATCTCTTCGGCCCAGCCCCAACCTGGCCTCCCCCTTATCCCTGAACTTTATTCCTCTGATTCCTTCTCACCTGCACTGCCCAGTCTCTAAGTAGGGTGGGCCTCCTTGTTCCTATTTTCTAATTACTTCTATCTACTAGTAGCCTAAATGGCAAATAGAGAATAAGGAGGAGAGTGAGACAGCCCTAAATAAATAATAAGCGTTTATATCAAGACCACCAGACTTGTTGGGGGCAGCAGAGCTCTGCTTTCGCATAGGTATGGACCCATCCCCTAAAGATAAATATGAAACTTTAAAATGCTCTCATCTTTAGTACCATCCATTGAAACCCTTTTTGAGATACTTATTAGTGACAATTTATAATCCATTAGTAGAAAAACCATCGAGTTTTGCAGCTTTCATATTTCTTAATTAAGGCTGTATACCTGGGTTCAAAAAAAGCAAGGTAGACTTTTTTTAAAAAATTAAAATTTGGAAATATTTAAAGGGCTAGTGCAGTGTCTTAGTTATAAGTGTTAACAGAATTTAAATCTTCACTATTCCTAAAAGAAACCCCATATCTAATTGCAGTCATTTCCATTCCTCCCTCCTTCCAGCCTCTGGCATGCACTAATCTATTTTCCATCTCTATGGATATTTCTATGCTGGACATTTCACATTCATGGGATCATATAACATGTAATCCTTTTTGACCAGCTTCTTTCTCTTAGCATCCTGTTTTCAAGGTTCATCCATGCTGTAACATTTATCGTACTTCATTTTTTATAGCTGAATAATCTTCCTTTATATGGATATGCCACATTTTATTTATCCATTTGTCAGTTGATGGGCATTTGGGTTGTCTCCACTTTTTGCCTATCATGAATGATGCTGCTATGAACATTCGTGTACGGGTTTTTGTGTGGACATATCTCTTAATTTTTCCTGGGTGTACATCTAGGAGTGGAATTGCTGGGTCATATAGTAAGTAACGTTGTTTTATCCTTTTCACGAATGGCCAGACTACACCATTTTATATTCTTACCGACAATATATAAGGTTTCCAATTTCTCCACATCCTTGCCAACTTGTTAGTAATTATAATTATAGCCATCGCAGTGGTTGTTAAGCGGTATCTTATTGTTGTTGTTGTTTTATTAAGAGGCTATTTTTAGAGCAGTTTTAGGTTTACAGAAAAATCGAGTAGAAAATCTAGAAGTCCCGTATATCCCCTCTCCCCCACACTGGCAGTCTCCCCTATTATTAAACTATTGCATTATTGTAGTGCGTTAGTTACAACTGATGAACCAATATTGGTGCATTATTGACCAAAAAGTCCATAGTTTACATTATAGCTTACTCTGAGTTGCACAGTAGTATGAGTTTTGACAAATGCATGATTTCATGTATCTACTACTACAGTAGCATCACAGAGTTATTTCACTGGCCTAAGTATCACCTGTGCACCATCCCTTCATTTCTCCCTCTTTCCCCCCAAACCGTGGAAACCACCAATCTTTTTACCATCTCTGTAATTTTGCCTTTTCCAGAATGTCATATAATTAGAACCGCCCAGTGTATAGCTCATTTTTCACTAGCAATATGTATTTGAGATTCCTCCAAGTCTTTTCACAGCTTGATAGTGCATTTCTTTTTATTGCTGAAAAATATTCCATTGTATGGAAAATGGATATACCACAGACTGTTCATCCATTACCTATTGAAGGACATCTTAGTTCTAAGTTTTGGCAATTATGCATAAAGCTGCTGTCAACAGTCATGTGCAGATTTTTAAGTGGACATAAAATTTTAACTCACTTGGGTACATACCCGGGAACGTACTTGCTAGATCATATGATAAGACTATGTTAGTTTTGAAAGGAATTGACAAACTATCTTTTTAAATGGCTGTACCACTTTGCATTCCACCAGCAATGAATGAGAGTTCCTATTGCTCCACATCCTCACCAGCATTAGCATTGCTAGTGTTTTGAATTTTAGCTCTTCTAATAGGTATGTAGTTGTAGCTCATGTTTTAATTTGCAACTCCCTAATCACATGTGATGTCGAGCATCTTTTCATATGCTTATTTGCCATCTGTATATCTTTAAGTGTCTGTTCAGAGAGATCCTTTGCCCATAATTCATCTTTTCCTTACTGTTGAGTTTTAAGAGCTCTTTGTATATTTGAAATACGAATCCTTTATCAGATACGTGTTTTTGCAAATATTTACTCCCAGAGTGTGGCTAGTCATTTTATTCTCTTAACAATGTTTTTCACAGAAGTTTTTAATTTTCATGCAGTCCATCATGTTAATTTTTTTGTTAATGGATTGTACTTTTGGTGTTGTACCTAAAAAACCAAAACTACCTAGATTTTCTCCTGTTACTTTCTAGAAGTTTTATAGTTTTGCATTTTGTATTTAAGTCTATGATCCATTTAAGTTAATTTTTGCAAAAGATTTAAGGTCTGTGTTTAGACTTATTATTTTGCATGTGGATATTCAGTTGTTCTAGTACCATTTGTTGAAAAGATTATTATTTCTCCACTGAATTGCCTTTGTTCCATTGTCAAAGGTCATTTAACTATATTTATGTGGGCCTAGTTCTGGGCTCTCTGTTCCGTTTATCTAATTGTCTATTCTCTTGCCAATAGTACACTGTCTTTATTACTATAGTTCTGTAGTAAGTTTTGAAGTTGGGTAGTTTAAGCCCTCTGACTGTTTTTCTTCTTTAATACTGTGTTGGCTATTTTGGGTCTTCTGCCTTTAAATAAACCTTAGAATCAGTTTGTTCTTAGCCACAAGTAACTGGCTGGAATTTTGGTTGTGTTTGCATTGAATATATAGATCAAGTTGGGAAGAACAGACATCCTCACAATATTGAGTCTACCTATCCATGAACATGGACTATCTCTCCATTTATTTAGACCTTCTTTGATTTATTTTGTCAAAGTTTTGTAGTTTACCTTATATAGCTTTTGTGAATATTTTGTTTAAACCTATTTCTTCTTTTTTCTTTTTTTAGTGATGATATAACTGTTTATTTCAAATTCCAATTGTTCATTTCTGGTATATAGGAAAGCAACGGTCTTTTAAAGTATTAATCTTGTATCCTCTAACCTTGCTATAATTCAACCTTGCCATAATCACTTATTAGATCTATGAGTTTGTTGAAAGCACATTATTTTCTATTTTTTAAAAATATCCATAAAAATAGGAAGGAAAAGATCCATTAAAACTCCAAACAAACCGAACAAATAAACCCACTTGTATTGCGCATGAGTAACATAACTATCCAGGAGGACAAAAAAGGAATTAATCAAAGTAACTGCTGAACATATCATCTGGCTATACACTGTTAGTTGAGTAGCACAGAAACAATGCAAACAAACCCTGACCTCTTTTTAGAAGGTTTGTGTGTTGTAGTTGTACAGGTGAAGCAATCTGAAATTAGTTTTAAGTGTATGGTAGAGTTGAGTAAATAAATACGTTGAGGTAATTGTTGAGTCTTCTTCCACTGTATTCCATACAGATATCAAACGGGGCAAAGCAAGAAAAGAGGACTCTGTGGGAGTGCATTGGAATTGGAGGTATCAGTATGAATTCATGATTTCTAATACAATAGGAATCCTTTTGCCATGAAAGACAAAGACAGGCTGAAGAACTGTACTATATTTAAGGAGACTAAAGTAGCATGATGACTAAATGCAATATGTGATTTTGAAGTGGATCTGTACTGAAGAAAAGATATGCTACAAATGACATTACTGGGTAATTTGACAAATCTGGAATACAGATGATACGTCAAAGTACTGCATCATTGTTAAATCTCCTGAAGTTGCTAACCCTACTGTGATTATTTAGTGGAATCTTGTTTTTAGGAAATACACTTTCAATTATTTAGAGATAATGGGGCATGACATGCTACTTACTCTCAAGGGGTTCAGAAAAATAATTTGTATATATTACATATCTATGCATGTGCATGTGTGTTTATGCACACACTACTCACTGTAAATGCACATGATAAAGTAAATAGGGCAAAAGATTAACAATTGTGAATCTGCATAAAGGGTGTACAGAGTTTCTTTATGGTCTTCTTGCAACTCTACCTTAAGCATGAAATCCTTCCAAATAAAAGATTTCTAAAAGGTTGGTGTTAGGCATGCACAAAAAAATTAAGGGTAATAGAGTAGACTTTTGAAAGCAGGGGGTAATGATAACATCAAATATTTTAAAGGAATGTCGTGTGGAAGGAGGATTAAGACTTACAATTTGGCTAATCTTATTTGGTGTCATTCTGCTTTGTGTAATATCATTACAGCATATCCAAGTGCTCATGGCTGAAATGAGATACAGGAGTTTTTAAGTTTTATGGAGTCTTCAGTATAATTCAGTACAGAGAGGTGCAAAATCATGTGATTGTGAGGGTTCATTGGGTAGCATACACGAATGAAGGGGACTGGGTGCAGAAAATGGAAAATAGTGGGAACTTGAGAGCAATGTCTTTTCCAAAGGCTTTCAAATGCAACTAAAGACAAACCCAAAATACTGTGCAGTAATCCCGGGCTGCGTCCAGCCTGTGAGTGGCCAGCTGGGACCCACGATCTTATCTAATCCTTTTTTTCAGGTGAGGAAACAGGTACCAAACATCATAAAACAGTGTAAGTGAATGAAAGGTGTAAATGGGTGCATATGTATTTTTAAAAAAACACCATTTTTAATGAAAGAAACTAATATCCACACATTTGTACTTATATACAATTGGGGTAATATATAATTTTAAGCTGTTTACAAATAATATGTAATGCTTCAAATATTACATAAGGTTGATAATATATTTCTAGCAGAAATAAATATATTGCACTTAAAAAAACTGCATTAAGCAAGTCTATTGATGCCATTTTTCCAACAGCATGTGCTCACTTCATGTCTGTTTCACATTTTGGTAATTCTCACAATATTTCAAACTTTTTCATTATTAGTATATCTGTTAGGGTGATCTGTGATCAGTTATCTTTGATGTTGCTATTATAGTTGTTTTGGGGCACCATGAGCTATGCCCATATCAGATGGTGAACTTAATCCATAAATGTGTGTGTTCTGACTGCTCCACTGACTGGCTGTTCCCCCATCTCTTTCCCTCTCTTTGGGCCATCCTATTCCCTGAGACACAACAGTATTGAATTAGGCCAATTAATAACCCTACAATGCCCTCTAAATGTTCAAGGGAAAGGAGGAGTTGCGTATCTCTCACTTTCGATCAAAAGCTAGAAACCATTAAGCTTAGTGAAGAAGGCATGTTGAAAGCTAAGATAGGCCAAAATCTAGGCCTCTTGCACCGAACAGGTAGCCGCATTGTGAATGCAAAGAAAAAGTTATTGAAGGAAATTAAATGTGGTATTCCAGCAAACACAGTAATGATAAGAAAGTGAAGTAGTCTTATTGCTGATATGAAGAAAGTTTTAATGGTCTGGATAGAAGGCCAAACCAGCCACAACCTTCCCTTAAGCCAAAGCCTGACCCAGAGCAAAGCTCTAACTCTCTTTAATTCTATGAAGGCTGAGAGAGGTGAGGAAGCTGCAGAAGAAAAGTTGGAAGTTAGCAGTGGTTAGTTCATAAGGTTTAAGACAAGAAGCCATATCCATAACATAGAAGTGTAAGGTGAAGCAGCAAATGCTCGTGTAGAAGATACAGCAAGTTATCCAGAAGATATAGCTAAAATCATCAATGAAGGTGGCTACACTAAACAACAGATTTTCAATATAGACAAAGCAGCCTTATATTGAAAGAAGATGCCATCTGGGGCTTTCATAGCTAGAAAGAAGAAGTCAATGCTTGGCTTTAAAGCTTTAAAGAACAGGCCGACCCTTTTGTTTGGGGCCAGTGCAGCTGGTGACTTTAATTTGAAGCCAATGTCAATTTGCCATTCTGAAAAATCTTAGGACCCTTAACAATTATACTAAATCTATTCTCTCTGTGCTTTATAAATTGAACAACAAAGCCCACATGACAGAACATTTGTTAACAGCATGGTTTGCTGAATATTTTAAGCTCACTGTTGAGACCTACTGTTCAGAAAATTAAAAAAAAGATTCCTTTAAAGATATTACTGCTCATTGACAATGTACCTTGTCACCTAAGAACTCAGATAGACTGGTACAAGGATGTTAATGTTTTTATGCCTGTGAACACAACATACATTCTGCAACCCATGAGTCAAAGAGCCATTTCAACTTTCAAGTCTTATTATTTAAGAAATACATTTATTAAGGTTACAGGTGACATAGATAGTGATTTCTCTGATGAATCTCGGGTAAAGGAAATTGAAGACCTTCTGGAAAGAATTCACCTTTCTAGACACCATTAAGAATATTTGTGATTTGTGGGAAGAGGTCAAAATATACTACATTAACAGGAGTTGGGAAGTACTTGACTCCAACCCTCATGGATGACTTGGAAAGATTCAGTTCTTTAGTGGAGAAAGTCACTGCAGATATGGTGGAAGTAGCAGGAAACTTAGAAATGGAAGTGAATCTTTCTAAAATTTTTCTTATTTAAAAACCAAGACAAAAATTTAATCAGTTTTTCTACCTTTGGTTTGGTTTGTTTTAGCCTGAATACATTCCCTTTGATCTATAACACCAAGTGGGTAGTTTTTCATCTATTCCAATCCAACATCCTCTTCTTGAGTCCTGGTAATGTGTTTTAAGATTATGAGTAATCACGAGGTTGGCTGCTATCTAATTATGACTTGGCTTGCTGCATTTTGAATTCATGTCCAGTATAGTTATGGGACTCAATGTTAAGAATAGTAAAAACCCCTGATGATTCCATGATCTCTTGATATTCATTCTGATATTCAGTTCAAGACCAGAAAATTGATAGCTAGTTTCTTTCAGGACATTTTCTTGTTGATTTGTACCATTTTGTTATTTTTAGGGGGAAATTTTATGCAGTTTTATATTTAATTGTCATGGCTTTAATTATTTCTGAATCTTTAGTAAGTACTTAACAGGATGTGCTGCGCTTGAGAAAATCATTATTTACTTATTTGTCTTTGACTTTTTGCAAGTAGCTAACAACTGAGTGGATAAGCATATCTTAATTTGGACACTAAATTTTTACTGGAAAGACTTAGTATGCATTTAGATTTCATAAAATTTACAGTTGAAAAAGTAGATTAACATACTTAAGTTGTCCATATATATATATATTTTAATTTAAATAATTTATATAAAATGGAGTCTTGCTATGTTGCTCAGGTTGGTCTTAAACTCCTGGGCTCAAGTTAGCCCCCCACCTGACTCCTGCGTAGCTGAGACTACAGGCATGGACTACTGTGCCCAGCTCCAAATATTTTTAAACATTTTCTAATAATGGTATTGAGGACTGGTTTTAAAATTAAAATTAAATTAATTAAAATTAATTTAATGAAATGTAACTTAAATATAATTACAATTAAGATTAAACATTCAGTTTTTCAATTGGACTAACCATATTTCAATACCTATGTGTGGCTGGTGACTATGGTATTGGACAGCACAGGTATGGATGGTTTGCTGTAATTCTGAAGAATCCTACCACCTTTTGTTTTCCTCACAACTTTTTAACTTCTATAGTACTGAAATTTTTTTTACATGTTTGGTGTGTAATATCACATTCAAGTCATTTCAAGTCAGAATGATCACTCTGGTTCTAGCAATATTATGTTCCTTGCCTTTATAGTTTCAAGGTCTTTCAAGTCACTGTCTGGGAATACATTCCCAGAGTTGGCATATATGATCAATTACCCATGAAACTGTACCCATCCTAGGGAATGACATTTTCATCTACTGCCTAGATGACTATTTATGCTTCTAATTTGGGTGCATACATGCTTACATTGTTTGCTTACATATTCTGGTGTCAAGTGCATACTCAAAATTTGCCGAAGAATTTAAAAAGCCAGTGTCAGATAATTTTTACATATGGCATTTCTCAAGCGTTCAGATTCCTTGATATATTTACTTATAATGTATGCACATGTGGTGATGGAGATTTAGTGTGGAATTTACTTAGTATGTTTATACTTTTATTCTGTGAAATGTGATCAAACTACCTGTCATGTTATTTGTTTGCTGAGAATATGTGTGTGTGGGGGTGTGTGTGTGTGTGTGTGTGTGTGTGCATTTTAAACTTTACGCTATCGTTAAAACTATTTCTTATGATCCAGGGGATTTCTAAGTGTCTATAAGATTGAAATCTTTAGGGGGTTTTATTCTAGCAGAAAAATTTAAAATTCTTATAGACTGTAAAAATACCATTTAGATTGATTAACCATTTTTAAAAATTCTTTTATTTATCATGCATTTCTGGAGTGCCTTGTGTTTTCAAAGTGATGCATTCTCTAAAGGAGAATTCCTGAACTCTCTCTGCAAGCAACTTATATTTTCATTCACATAGGCCATTTTACCATAGCTAATCTATTAAAATATTAGACATTAGAGCAATAGTACTATACTAGTTGGCCTTCCCTTGGCTGGACACATCTGTCTGCTCTTGTCAGAATATAAATCTATGTGAAAACAAAGGAAAACAAAATCATGTAGTTAACCTTTGTTCACCACTCAATCACTATATTATTCAATGTCTATGGAAAGATCACTTAACCTTTCTCCCTCTATTCTCATTTATGAGCCAAGGGTTATTATGAATGTCTTATTCACCACACTAGCTAATTTTAAGGCTCAATGGTAAGAATCAAATGAGCCTTGCCTGTGGCTAGTTTATGTCAGATTAAAGAACACATGGTATCTGGACTTGAAGAAGGAGAAAGGGATCTACCATGGGTTGGGTGATTTTACACCAAATTTACAGCAAATGAAAGAGGCAGACCAAGAGGTAGAAAAAGAAGAAAGCAAGAAGCATAAGCTATGGATAGCATTAGAGGGAGAAAAAAAAAAACTACTGAAGAAAATGCTGAGAAAGATGGTGGAGTAAAAAGTGTAAGGGCAAAGATAGAAAAAAGATAAGTAGAAGAGTATTACATGAAGGAAATATCAGAGTTGGTTTGGACTTGACAATAAGGACATTAAAAAGACTTCTAAGAGGCTACAGGGATTTTAAAAACTAGGACAAGACAGATGTCATGTATAATTTATTACCTAGAAAACTATTAGAGTAGATATAAAATTGCAAGGTAGGAGAGTCAGGTGTGGAAAAAAGGTGCCCAGCAAAAGTTAATGTGCTGAAGCAATATGCTTTCAAAGTCAGTTAGTCAAGACTATTGAGAATAATGGGAGGTAGAGTGGACAGCTGTGGTTAGAATTTATGAGGCTGCAACAAAAGAGAAGAGAAAAAGAAAAGCCAGAACTTCTTGTTATAACAAAAATGTTGAAACTTACATATGTTTGAAAGAACATAGAGATGATCGATGATCTGTCCTGAAGGGTAAAACATATTAAAGAGGAGAGGAAATAAGATGAAAAGAAACAATGACCATTGAAGACTATTACTTTGAAATTTATTTTTACTTTAAAAATTATATTTTGTCATAAAATAAAACTCCCTATCAAGAAGTTAATTTAAAATGCTTTTTATTATAAAGTAATACATTCTCACTATTAAATATTTAGGAAATGTAGAAAAATAAACCATAGTTCTATTTAATTTTAATATTAAAATATGTTTTCCAGTTTTTTTCAATGCATGCTTTTCTTTGTTTTGATTTTGATAAGATGTGGACAAAACCATCAGAAGAGGTTTTGTCTGATCATAGGACAAAATTATAAACAAATATTTGGTGAAATCTTTTTATAAACAAAAGCTATGAGGGTCAAATGGAGTTACGTGTATGTGCTTCTCATACCATAACCATATTTGTGTACACTTTGTAGAAACCATTTCAGGTGTTCAATCTTGAGCAAGCTTAGCTTATTCTAGCAAGCAAGGAGGAATATTCTAGTGAATTGTGGTAGTGTGTGTGAAGTGGGTTTAGTGTTTGGAGATTCTTTCTGCAGGTTTCATGGATACTTTATGGAAAATCAACAATGCTTTATATATTATCCTTTTATCCTCTCTTCATGACCTTTTTTGATAACCAGGTTTTAGATCTATGTATGTTTCCAAAGAAAGAAAGGACAGATCAAAAGTTCATCAACTCTCTGATTCTACTATAAAGAAGTGATTCAGGTTGGGGTAGGAGTCATCCTCTAAGCTCTGATCTCGTTTCAAGATAACTTTTTATTTAAAAATAGTGACATGCATGTCTGTTCATCCCTCCACACCCCACTTTTTTTCCACAGAAGAATGGATACATTTAATTGTATTCTCTGTAAACTTTTTAATGTTTTTCTTTCCTTAGGATAGTTCTACTTGAGCATGAGTTTAATTTTCTCCCCAGAATTCTCATTTTAAATGCTAGTAATATACATACCCCGAGGTCTGAATTCAGTATGAAAGGAGTCATAATGTGTGATGATTCTAGACCATTCTTACAATCTATGCATTTCATTTTTGAATCTACTGCATTTAGCACAGGGTCTAGATGAGGCAGGAACACAATAAAATATTTATTGAATGAATAAGTAAGAGTTTTAGTTTTCTCTTGTGAAAAATACTGTTCCCAAATAAATGTCAAATGAATTCTGTAGAGTTTTTTCATTGAGCCTGAATTCTGGACTTCATGTCTGACCTTTTGCAGCCTGAATTTCTAACAGGCTTCCTCAAATTAGAGTGTGTATTAGAATCACCTGGGGGAACTAGCGGACCATGCAGACTCCTTCCTGGGCCATACTTCCTAGATATTCTCATTCAGTAGGTAAGGTCCAGCCATCTGGGTTTTTAGTAAGTGCTTGAAGTATTTGTGTAAGGTGCTCATAGGACCACACTTTGTTAAATATCATTAAAGGTGTGGGTTCAGGCAGATCCAATATAGATTTGTGTTTTCTCTAATTTGGCTGTGTTTCAACTATTTCAGGCAGATATTCTAAAGAGTTGGAGGTGTTTTTAGGAAATGGTCCTATGGCAATCTTTAGACCATCAGTCTGAAATAGATTTCGAACGACTGACTTGTCTTAACTGCACATACGGAAATTAACACCTTGTCATATATTATCTTGTTAGCAAATCTCCGTGACATGGAATTTTACTTAAACAGTTGGCCAATATTTTAAAAATAAAATTTCTTAACATCTTGTTATCATGCTTTTATAGAGGAAGGACTAGCCTATTACTTAAAGTGTCTTTGGCTGGCTGAGAAAGACTGACATGCCCTTGACCTATCCCATGCTCCTTCTTTAAAAGCTGATTTGCACCTGTGGTTGCTCTTAGAGCCACCTTCAACACCTCACTGAGGAAGTGGGTGTCTCCATGGCTGCACTTGATTCCTGCGCTCTGAGTGCTACTGTGATTCCCTGATCTGAGTTCCAAAGCACTCCCTTTCCTGCGTAGCTGAAAGGGGAATGAGGATAAAAAATCTGACTGCTGAATTGCCACTTGCAGTATATACAACATCACTTTGCCACAGACTTCTTAAAATAACCATTGTGATTTTTGCATTAAGACACAAAAGAGTACAGAGCATCTAAAAAATATTAATGTTGGCTGGGCACGGTGGCTCACATCTGTAATCCCAGCACTTTGGGAGGCCGAGGAGGGTGGATCACCTGAGGTCAGGAGTTCAAGACCAGCCTGACCAACATGGTGAAACCCTGTCTCTACTAAAATTACAAAAATTAGCTGGGCCTGGTGGCAGGCGCCTTGTAGTCCCAGCTACTTGGGAGGCTGAGGCAGGAGAATCGCTTGAACCCGGAAGGCGGGGGTTGCAGTGATCCCAGATCGCGCCACTGCACTCCAGCCTGGGCGACAGAGTGAGACTCCGTCTCAAAAAAAAAAAAAAAAAATTAATGTTATGTAGAACTTGGAAAATAAATCTATTATTTTGTATGCAACTACAACAAGAATAAAATTCAGCTTCCAAGTCCCCAACCAACCAAACCAACTCCCGAGTAACTAAATTTTCAAATGGAATAATATTTATAAGTATGTAGAAAAGGGATTACTGTATACATGAGAGCTTTGAATTACTGTGATAATCTGGACATCTGGAAATGAGAATAAGCCTCACTGCCCTGCCTTTAACTGACCATCTGTGACTCAGGTGGACAGAGGAGACCACTTACCTTTCTCTCATGGTGTTTCCTTTCAGGTGAGGGTCACCATTAGCATATCGCTCCTGGCCTGTCTCTGTATCTGTTCTCAAACTCCCTCTCATGGAGCAAAATCTGTTTAATGAAATGTGGGAGCAAAAATTTGGCATACACATATCTCAGGCTCTTTGTGTTTCTCTTCTTCAGGAGTCAGCTTGCCTGTGAGAACTGCATTTTCTTTCTCTTTTCTTTTCTTTCTTTCCCTTCCCTCCCTCCCTCCCTTCCTCCCTCCCTCCCTCCTTCCCTCCTTCCCTTCCTTCCTTCCTTCCCCCTCCCCTCTTTTCTTTTTTTCTTTTTCTCTTTCTTTTCCTTTTTCTTTTCTTTCAAGATGGAGTTTTGCTCTTGTTGCCCAGGCTGGAGTGCAATGGTGGGATCTCAGCTTACTGCAACCTCTGCCTCCCAGATTCAAGCGATTCTCCCGCCTCAGCCTCCTGAGTAGCTGGGATTATAGGTGCCTGCCACCATGCCCAGCTAATTTTTTGTATTTTTAGTAGAGACCATGTTGGCCAGGCTGCTCTTGTACTCCTGACCTCAGGTGATCCACCTGCCTCGGCCTCCCAAAGTGCTGGGATTACAGGCATGAGCCACCGTGCCCGGCCCGAGACCTGCATTTTCTAGGCCCGCATCTCTGCTCATTTCCCGTTGCCCATCTATCTCAGCAGATGGTCTGTGATTGCTCAGTGCTGCCTGTGTCTAGATGGAAATCTAGTGCTGGATATCATATTGGGAAACCTCTTGTTGCTGAACTCCTTAGCTGTGTTCCCCATCATGGTCTGTGGTAGACATGAACATGTGTTACCCAGAGCCCCTCCAAGAAAGAACTCACTGACCAGCTGAGGAGAGGGTGGTCAGCAGAATGTCTCCGGCTGCCTGCTTTCTTAGGGTCAGCCTCAGCTGCAAAGTGATGGATGTCTTTGCTCAAGAATATGCCCTTTTCAGAGCATCCCACATCTTGTGACTGAACTAGGACAAGATTAAAAGGCCCAGCCATTTCAACCAACTGTGAGATGACTCTAATGGGCAGTCTCGCTCTAGAGCTCCTGCCAGGTTGGCCAAGGCTGTTTTGGGTCTTCATCACAGTTTGACTTTTTTCTCTGCTCCATTCTGCTTCCTCCCCTTCCTTTGATTCTTTATATATGTCTTGAACACCAACTCTCTCTCAGTATATGCACCTGGAGGAGTCAACCTGTGATATGGCCTCTTTTGGTTTAGGGCTTTAAATATCTTTTTGCTAATGTTAATATTTGGTTTTCTTAACTGGTTCAGAACTCAAGTAGAGAAATAATAGTGCCATTTCCAGACTCCTTTAAATCTCAGCAGTGGATATAACTCTGCCTAGGTGAGAGAAACTTGTATCCCATCGAGGTGTAGGTAGTAAAAATAAGAATAGGCAGCCCTGAGTAGGGTTCTCAGTGAATACCGGGTAGTCTGGCTATACCATCAGAAGGTACTGTATTGTCTATCTCTGATAAAGAAATAAAAATGATACCCTGTATTGACACATGTAAAACACTGAAAGTATCTTATTTTCAGGCAGACATGACCTACTATTATGCAGGCTTCCTAAGACAGTAAACAGATATTTCAGATCGCCAAAGAATAGTTAAATATCCCAATTTCTATTAAATACACACAGTGATTCTTGGCGTAAAACATAAATGATTGCAACCTTCTGATTTGTTATAGAGCAGAACATTAGGTGAATCATCAAAACATTGTCAAAAACATTTCTGTAAGGAGCCCCATCTTTCACGGGTAGTACCGTATCAAGAAAGCCCTGAGCCAATACTTGTGAAAAATTAACAATAGCTTCCATCAAGAACAGAATAAGTAGAAAATGAGTTTTAAATACAGCATAACTAGTGTTTTAAAGATGATTTACCAAAAGGGGCAATTTTAAATTAGATTTTTCTTAAGAATGTAGCATGTATTCTCTTGCAAATTAAACTTGTGGGTGTAACTATGTATTGTATCAAGGGAAGGGAACAGAATTTTCTCTGGGAAGATTTAGCTTTGGGAAAGTTTCACTTGGATAAATTGGGGAGAAATAAAAAAAACATGTTTAATAAGCCAGATTTGCTAACTTTAACTCTGGAATCTAAAGAATGACAGATGTCACAATCAGGCAGCATTCATATTCAGCTAGGTAGTTTGTTTAAATCAGTGGTTCTCAACCTTCTGATAGCATAAAAATTGGCCCAATTGGACTGAGAAAAAATTGGCCTTGCCGAAAACCAGACCAAAATCTTCACCAAAGAACGTAAATACACCATATTTAGAATAGGACAATGGTTAGGTTACATCTTAACCACAAAAATGACTAACACCCCTCATTGCCAGCAACTTTGCCTCTTTGATGATCTCTGCTTATTTATCAATGATAGCACTGCTCTTGGATGAAGACGATTGAGGAACCCAATCACAGAATTTCCCCAATTTCTTGATGTTATTCAATCCAGAAACTTTCCCTGCTTCCCTAATCACTCCTAAAAATAATCTACTAAAATCCCCCCACCCACCACCCTCTGACTCTTACTGAGAAGCCCTCAATGTTTTCCTGGAGTTTCAGCAAGGTAAGCAGGCCTCATTGCTTAACTACAGGTGTTTTCTTGGTGGTCTTTATTTGATGGGCTTTGATACTTGGCTGCATATTAAAATCATCTGGTGATAAGGTTTGGCTGTGTCCCCACCCAACTCTCATCTCCAATTGTAATCTCCATAATCTCTACCTGTCAGGGGAGGAAACTGGTGGGAGGTGATTGAATCATGGGGGTGGTTTTACCCATGCTGGTCTCTTGATAGGGAGTGAATTATCACGAGATCTGATGGTTTAAAGTGTGGCACTTCCACCTTCGGGCGCTCTCTCCTGCTACTTTGTGAAGCAGGTACTTGCTTCTCTTTTGCTGTCCATCATGACTGCAAGTTTCCTGAGGCCTCCCCAGCCATGCAGAACAGTGAGTCAATTAAACCTCTTTTCTTTATAAATTACCCTCTTGGGGAGTTCTTTTTTTTTTTTTTTAGGATTTTTAAATATAATATTAATTTATTAGAAAGAAGCTTCTTTGTGAGAATGAACTAATATATCTAGAGAGGTTTTAAAAATCTTGATGCTCAGGCTGCTCCTCAGACCAATTGAATTAGAATTTCTGAGGTTTAGAGCTGGGCACCAGAATTTTTAAAGCTTTTCAGGTGATTTCAGTGTGGAGTCAAGGTTGAGAACCACTGGTTAAATGATTATGTCGGAGGTGGAGGATGTACCACATAAATGCCGAAAGTTACTTGTAGCCTTGTGATTTTTTTTTCTTTTTTTGAGACAGAGTCTCTGTCGCCTAGGCTGGAGTGCAGTGGCACCATCTCGGCTCACTGCAAGCTCTGTCTCCTGGGTTCACGCCATTCTTCTGCCTCAGCCTCCCCAGTAGCTGGGACTACAGGCACCTGCCACCACGCCCGGCTAATTTTTTGTATATATTTTTTAGTAGAGACGGGGTTTCACCGTGTTAGCCAGGATGGTCTCGATCTCCTGACCTTGTGATCCGCCCGCCTTGGCCTCCCAAAGCCTTGTGATTTTTAACTCTGACATTATTTTACATTGTCTCTGGTTGTTGATGTATCAAAATTGTCTTAATGTATCTAAGGGAGGGAGAACGATGAGCTGGAAGCAATGCTTTCTTGATGCTATCCGTGGTTAGACTGCAAGGAAGTGAAGTGAGATATTGGCAACATTCATATTTGGTTCTTGAAATGCAAGTGAGTGAAATTCTTTGAAAAACTCTTAATGTGCTTAGAATGGTGAGAGGATATTTTCTCTTTTCACATTACTTTGCTGGACTATATAATGTTTTGGTTTAACTATCACTTCCTTTAATCTGTTCTTTAAACTGATGTTTAAACATTTAACTATGTTTTTAAGTATTTCTGTTTACAATAAAAATTAATTTCTCCTTCAGGGCAATAGTAATTGTGTCATAGGGATTTAAGGAAAAGCATCTGAAACATTTCTATTAATACTCTGTAATACAATGCTTAATTAACTTGTGTTTTCCGTATGTGAGATTTGTTGGCGTGGGGAAGAATTGGTGACAGAGGCAGGAAAAAGACAATCAGTTCTATAAAATATACCTCAAGCTGGGACATGAAGAAAAACTGGGCAAACTAACTTTTCCCCTTCTAGTTCTGTTGAAGGCTTAAGGGACACAGTTGTTTCTGAAATATTGGACTGTTCACATGGAATTGAGCCAAGCAGCTTCAGAGACATGCTTTTTCTTGAGTAGGTAGTTCAGATTCCAGTATTTAAGCCTAATAGTTAATAGTTGGTATTAAATATGATCAAAATTAGTATTTAACCAATGAAAATTCTGCCTGTGTAAGGAGGCAGGCTGAGACATGTGACCCCACTGCTGACCAGGCTATGTTTATGCTTTACCTGGAAACTTAAATGGCCTGCGGACTTTCAAAAAATAATATTTTTCAACACAACTGCAAGAATTGAGCAAGACTTTCAAGGGGTGAGGGACCATCTTTACTTGTAATCTTATTCCAGCAAGTAAATATTATCTTTCTCATTTCTGAGGTTCAAAATAACCCAGATTTAGCTTTACTTCTTGAGAACTGGGTTGGGATTGAGGATCAGTTGATACATTTTAGGCTCTTTGAATTGCTAATAATTTTTCTTGTGATATAGCTAACATGGATTCTGACTGATTTAGACCTTTTTTTTTAAACATGAGATATTCTGCCTGTTTATCTCCAATGTCATAATTTCTAAGCATGCATCTAAGACATATTGCCTACAATTTCATGAACTTGTGAGGAGGTAACTATGACTTTATATGAGTGGTCTACTTATATAATGAAATGAACCCATAAGCAATCTGATATATGTTATTGCAAACTTGGTTAGCAGTTGAGACAAATGCCTATAAGTAAAACCATTTTTATATAGCCAAATCAAGTTTTTTCTTGATAGTTTTCTCTTGTAATTTCTCATGTGTCTGTAGGAAGTGTCACTGATGATGCCTGTCACTAAGACCCATGTACTTTAATTATTCTCCACCATCCCCTTTTTGTTTTCTGTTCTCCAAAAGTCTGAACTCTCAGAATTAGGTTCTTGATATCTAGAGTATCAAGGGGCCAAAGAGAGCCAGAAATTCTAGGAAGTCAAAGACTGTGACTCCTAACCTGTTAAGCCTGAGTCAATTAAGGGGGTGAGGATGAGAAACTATTACAGGTGTTCTCCACCCTAGGCGCATACCAGAATCTCCTGGGGATCATTTAGATATTGCTAACACTTTGCTTTCCTGTAGAGAATCTGAATTAATAAGTTGGGGATAGGGCTGCGTCTGAAGGGTTATAGAAGTTCCATGCTCAGGTGTGGCCGCTCCTGGATTCAGGAGTGGGTTATACCAGGGCTTCCCATCCACAGAGAACACAATTTCCAGGGTGAGTCCACATGGTATGGAGGAGAGAGTGCTGGTCAGAGGGTCCAGGAAACCTGGTTCTCAAACTAGCATCACCACTAACAAACCCTGCTACTCCAGGTATATTATTTCAACTCTGTGATCTTTAGTTTCCTCATATATAACCTTAAAAAGTTTGTGGTCCCTTTTAGAGCTAAGATTCTACAATTTTAGCTTTTCATTGAAAAGTTTTCCCATTTGTAGAGTATATACTGAAAAAAAAAAACCTCAGATGATTCAGCATATTTGAACAGAAGTGCTACCAGCACTAGAATTGTCTAGAAGATTTAAAATGATTTGACCTTAATTTATAATCAGTATTTAAATAAATTCTAACTTTGGTGGAAGTAGTCAGCTATCCTTAGAGACAAGGTTCTGGATATATGAATTCTTGCTTTTTATATCTTCCAAGAATAGTGGGAGTTAAAATAAGTAATCATATAATCCAACTGACTGTTCCATGAGGTATATGATTGTACAGTGACAGCTTTTGCAATTACAGATATTCAATTATAGATGATTTATAAAATTGATTTCTTTCCCCAGAATCTGACTATACTGCTTTTTGAAGAAATTTTAGATCTTTTGGTTTTTATTGTAAGGAAAAAGAGAGATGTTATTTAGGGTAGTATATTAATACTCATTAAACATTTGCACTATAACTTTTTAGCAACGTCTTTAAAAACAGAAGAAACAATTTGACTTTTATTTTGTGGAAGGACAGTGGCTGGGGGTGGAAGAGCATAGTTCTCTCTTTCCTTGACAAAAATCCTTTAAAAATAACCCGCCAATTTTCAACCATTATATTTTAAGCCACAGGAGCTTGTGAGTTATCTTTCATCTTGGTTCTATCACATAACCAGAGAAATTACACAGCATCTCCCCAAGGAGAGGTCTAGCTGGGAGGCAATTCGAACAAAAATGTATTATAGAAATGTGATTGTTCAGTGTGTCATTATAACAGTTATTCATCTTTGCCCCTTAATCTACAGTTTTCTCACTCTTCATTTTATCTCTTATGTGTTTGTGCTTTTCTATGGATGCATGTGGCAGAAAGAGTGGCCATGAGGCAGTGACACCTGGAGAAGAATGTACAAGGAATTTACTGGACTTAGATGTCATGAGTAATAGCTGTAATACTTCTATGGATACATAGGCAGTTAAATTTGATTATCTGCCCCCACTTTTAGTTTGCATGAGTGAAAGAAAAGCTAGCTGTGTTCAGGGTTAAAATGACTTTATTTTAATACTAGATAATAATAACAATTCACCTTCTAGAAGGTAAGAAGTGTCCATTTAGGTCAACCATCATTATGGAACACATTTTAGTACTTACTATCTTGTAAGACCATATTTCCAATGTAAAAAATAGTATCCATTTGACACATCATATGATAGGACAGAATATTTAAAATCTAAATTGCGTTGGAAAATTAGGAAATATGGTACTTCATCAGTTATCTATTGCTGCATAAGAACCCACTCGAAACTTTTTTTTCCTCCATGGGTAAATAATTTGGTCTTGACTCAGCTGGGTGCTTCTGCAGTTGCTCTCCCTTGGGTTCACTCATGTGGCTAACTTCTGTAGCTCTAAAGGGGCTAGACGGTGTAAGATGGCAGTACTGACATGTCTAGCAGTTGATATTGGCTATTGGCTGCTTAACTAGGGGGCCTAAGTTGGAATGACACACCTCTACTCCATGTGGCCTATTATTCTTTAATTGATTATATTGGGCTTCTTCATGGCAGTCTCAGAACAGCATTCCAAGAGGGCAAATAAGAAGCTGAAAAATCTCCTTTTTCATTTTAGCTTTTATTTTAGATTTGGGGGTAAATGTGCAGGTTTGTGACAAAGGTATATTGCATGATGCTGAGGTTTGGGATATGACTGAACTGTCATTCAAGTCGTGAGCATCATACCCAATAGGTAGTTTTTCGGCCCCTTTCCATCCTCCCTCTCTCCCTGTTCTAGTAGTCCCCAGTGTTTATTGTACCCATCTGTATATCCATGTGTACCCAATGTTTAACTCCCACATATCAGTGAAAACACGTGATATTTGGTTTTCTGTTTCTGTGTTAGTTTGCTTGGGATAATGACCTCCAGCTGCATCCACGTTGCTGCAAAGGACATGATTTCATTCTTTTTTATGGCTCCATGGTATTCTATTGTATATATACATATATATAAACATTTTCTTTATCCAGTCCACCATGGTGGGGCACGTGGCTTGATTCTATGTTTTGCTACTGTGAATAGTGCTGTGTTGAACTTAAGGGTGTGTATGTCCATTTGGCAGAATGATTTATCTTCTTTTGGATATATACCCAGTAATGGAATTGCTGGGTCAAATGGTAGTTCTACCCTTAGTTCTTTGAGAAATATTCAAGCTGCTCTCCACAGTGGCTGGACTAATTTACATTCCCACCAACAGTGTGCAGGTGCTTCCCATTCTCTGCAGCCTCACCAGCATCTGTTATTTTTTGAATTTTTAACAAAGACTATTCTGAGTGGTGTGAAATGGTATCTCATTGTGGTTTTGATTTGCATTTCTCTGACAATTAGTGATGATGAGCATTTCTTTTATGTTTGTTGCCCACTTGTATGTCTTTTAAGAAGTAGACACTTCATGTCCTTTGCCCACTTTTTAATAGGATTATTTCTTTTTTGCTTGTTGATTTAAGTTTTGTATAGATTCTTAATATTAGACCTTTCTCAAATGCATAGTTTGTGAATATTTTCTCCCATTCTGTAGGATTTCTGCTTACTCCCTTGCTAGTTTCTCTTGCTGTACAGAAGCTCGTTAGTTTAATTTAGATCCCACTTACCAATTTTTATTTTGGTAGTAATTATTTTGAGGGCTTAGCCATAAATTCTTCGCCAAGCCTGATACTGAGAAGGGTATTTCCTAGGTTTTCTTTTAGCATTTTTTTGTTCTAGACAGAGTGTTTCTCTGTCACCCAGGCTGGAGTGCAGCGGCGTGATCTCGGCTCACTGCAAGCTCCACCTCCCAGGTTCAAGCGATTCTGGTGCCTCAGCCTCCCCAGGAGCTGGAATTACTGGCGTGCACTACCACACCCGGCTAATTTTTGTATTTTTAGTAGAGATGGAGTTTTGCCGTGTTGGCCAGGCTGGTCTGGATCACCTGGTCTCAAGTAATCCACCTGCCTCAGCTTCCCAAAGTGCTGGGATTACAGGTATGAGCCAATGTGCTCGGTCTTCTTCTAGGATTTTATAAATGGGGACATTCATTTAAGTGTTTAACCTATCTTGAGTTAATTTTTACATGTGGTTATAGCTAGGGGTCCAGTTTCATTCTTCTGCATATGGCTAGCCAGTTATGCCAAGACCATCTATTGACTAGGGAGTCTTTTCCACATTACTTATTTTTGTCAACTTTGTCAAAGATCAGACGATTTTAGGTGTGTGGCTTTATTTCTAGGTTCTCTATTCTGTCCCTGTGGTCTATGTGTTTATTTTTGTACCAGTACCATACTGTTTTGGTTACTGTAGACTTATAATATAGTTTGAAGTAATGTGATATATAATATAGTTTGAAGTATAGTTTGGGTAATGTGATGCCTCTGATTTTGTTCTTTTTGCTTATGATGGCTTGGCTATTTGGGCACTTTTTTGGTTCCATATGAATGTTTTTTGGTTGGTAGGTTTTTTTTTATTATTACTGATTCAATTTCAGATTTTGTTATTGGTCTGTCCAGGTTTTCATTTTCTTCCTATTTCAATCTTGGAAGGTTGTGTTTCTAGGAATTTATCCATTTCCTCTCAAGTTTTTAATTTGTGTGCGTAGATGTTCTCATAATTGTCTCTGAAGATCTTCTGTATTTCTGTGGAATAATGGACATTGGAGATGTGGAAGGGTTTCGGAGTAGGAGGGAGGTGGACAATGAGAAATTACATAATGGGTGCAGTATTATTTTTCTTGCCTGATTGCCCTGGCTAGGACTTCCAGTACTATGCTGAATAGGAGTGGTAAGAGTGGGCATGCTTGTCTCATTCCAGTTCTCAAAGGGAATGGTTACAGCTTTTACCTCTTCAGTATGATGTTGGCTGTGGGTTTGTCATAGATAGGTCTTATTAGTTTGAGGTATCCTCCTTTGATGCCTAATTTGTTGAGGGTTTCTCTCCTGAAGGGATGTTGGATTTAAAGCTTTTTTGCATATATTGAGATGATCATATGGTTTTTGTTTTTAATTCTGTTTATGTGGTGTATCATGTTTATTGATTTGCATATGTGGAATCAACTTTGCATCTTAAAAATAAAGCCTACTTGATCATGATGAATTAACTTTTGTATGTGCTGCTGGGTTCCGTTTGCTAGTATTCTGTTGAGGATTTTTCCATCCATGTTTATCAGGGATTATTGACCTGATATTTTATTTTTTTGTTGTGTTTACCAGATTTTTGTATCAGGGTGTTACTGGCTTCATAGAATAAGTTGAGGAGGAATCCCTCTCCCTCAATTTTTGGGAATAGTTTTAGTAGAATTGATAGCAGTTTTTTGTATGTCTGGTAGAATTCAGCTGTAAATGTATCTGATCCTGACCTTTGTTTTTTGGTTGGTAGGTTTTTTTTTATTATTACTGATTCAATTTCAGATTTTGTTATTGGTCTGTCCAGGTTTTCATTTTCTTCCTATTTCAATCTTGGAAGGTTGTGTTTCTAGGAATTTATCCATTTCCTCTCAAGTTTTTTAATTTGTGTGCGTAGATGTTCTCATAATTGTCTCTGAGGATCTTCTGTATTTCTGTGGGATCAGTTGTAATGTCATCTTTGTCACTTCTGATTGTGCTTATTTGGATTTTCTCTTTTTTTCCTTTGTTAATCTAGTTAGTGGTCTATCACTCTTGTTTATTTTTTCAAATAATCACCTTTTGGTTTCATTGATCTTTCATATCGATTTTTGTATCTTTTTAAATATAAAACATTTTATTTATCAGCAGAAAAAAGGGCAAAGGTGACAAATAGGAGAGAGTATTCCACAAATACAGTGGAATAATGGACACTGGAGATGTGGAAGGGTTTCGGAGTAGGAGGGAGGTGGACAATGAGAAATTACATAATGGGTGCAGTATACATTATTTGGGTAATGGGTAATGGGTACATTAAAAATCCAAACTTGGCCACTACACAATATAGTATCTTGATTTCATTCAGTTCTGCTCTGATTTTAGTGATTTCTTTTTTTCTGTTAGCTTTTGGATTGGCTTGTTTTGTTTTTCTAATTCCTCTAGGTGCAATGTTAGATTGTTAATTTTAGATCTTTCTAACTTCTTGATGTAGGCATTTGGCACTATAAACTTTTCTCTTAATACTGATTTTAGCTGCATCCCAAGGATTTGGTATGTTGTGTCTGTATTTTCATTAATTGCAAATAATTTTTTGACTTCTGCCTTAACTTCATTGTTCACCCAAAAGTCATTCAGGAGCAAGTTGTTTAATTTCCATGTGATTGTGTAGTTTTGAGAGATCTTTTGAATATTTACTTCTGTTTTGCATTGTGGCCCGAGAGTTTGCTTGATATTATTTTGATTTTTTTCAATGTATTGAGACTTGCTTTATGGCTGAGCATCTGGTTGATCTTAGAATATTTTGTGTGCAGATGAGAGGAAAGTATATTCTGTGGTTATTGGGTGAAGTATCGTGTAGATAATCTTGGTCCAGTGTCAAGTTTAAGGCCTGAATATCTTTGTTAGTTTTCTGTATCAATGATCTGTCTAATTATGTCAGTGGGGTGTTGAAGACTCCTACTATTATTTGTGGATGTCTAAGCCTTTTCATAGGTCAAAAAGAACTTGTTTTATGAATGTGGGTGCTTCAATATTGGGTACATATATTTTTAGGATAGTTAAGTCTTCTTGTTCAATTGAACTCTTTATCATTATGTAATATCCTCCTAGATTGCTGTTGTTTATAGTCTATTTTTGTTTTGCATTTGCATAATAGATCTTTATCCCTTTACTTTGAGCCCATGGGTGGTGTTACATGTGAGAAGGGTCTCTTGAAGAGAGCAGACAGTTGGAGGCTTGCCTTTTTATCCAACTTGCCTCTCTATGACTTTTAAGTGGGGTGTTTAGACTACTTACATTTAAGGTTAATATTGACATGTGAGATTTTGATCCCATCATTTTGTTAGCTGGTAATTTTGCAGACTTGATTTTGTAATTGCTTTATAGTGTCTGTGGGCTATGTGTCTAAGTGTGTTTTAGTAGTAGCAGGTATTGTTCTTTTGTTTCCATATTTAGTATTCCCTTAAGGACCTCCTGTAAGACTGGTCTAGTGGTAATGAATTCCCTCAGTGCTTGTGTGTCTGAAAAGGACTTTATTTCTTCTTCACTTATGTGAAGTTTGGTGGGATATGAAATTCTTGGTTGAAATTTCTTTAAGGATGCTGACAATAGGCACCGGTCTCTTCTGGCTTGTAAGGTTTCTGCTGAGAGGTCCACTGCTAGCCTGATGGAATTCCCTTTGTAAGTGATCTGACCCTTCCCTCTAGCTGCCTTTACAATTTTTCTTTTGCATTGACTTGGTGAATCTGATGAGTATATGTCTTGGGAATGGTCATTTTGTATAGTATCTCACAGGGGTTCTTTGTATTTTCTTGAATTTATATGTCAACCTCTGTAATGGGATTAGGGAAATTTTCATGGCCTATATCCCCGAATATATTTTTCAAGTTGCTTACTATGTCTCCTTCTCCCTTAGAAATGCCGATGAGTTGTAGTTTGGTCCCTTTACATAATCCCATATTCTCAGAGGTTTTGTTCATTTCTGAATTTTTTTAAGTATTTGTCTGAGTTGATTCAAAGAACTGGTCTTTGACCTCTGAGATTCTTTCCATAGTTTGGTCTATTCTGTTGTTAATGCTTCCGACTATATTATAAAATTCTTGCAGTGCAATCTTTAATTACAGAAGATTTGTTTGGTTTTTACTTCAAATGGCTATTTTGTCTTTGAACTCTTGGAATGTTTTACCGGGTTTCTTGGAATGGGTTTCAACCTTCTCCTGAATCTCAATGAGTTTCCTTACCATCCAGATTCTGAACTATGTCTGTCATTTCAGTCATTTCAATCTGGTTAAGAACCATTGCTGGAGAGCTAATAACATTTGGATATAAAGGGATATTCTGACTTTTTAAATTACCAGAGTTCTTAACTGATTCTTTCTCATCCAAGAAAGCTTGCGTTCTTTTGTGTTTTCGGATTTGCTGTCGTTTGGATGGAGCTTTTTGTTTTTCTATTCTTTATTTTCCTTGAGGAATTAACTTTGGTGTAAGTTGAGTATAGTTGAGTTCACTTTGTTTCTGGATTACTTTCAGAGGGCCAAGCCTCTGTACAGGATCTTTATTAGTGACTACATTCTTGCCCTGGGTTTCACAGAGAATATATACTGGAAGAAGAAGCTGCGATCCAGTAGATGGTACTTAAGAGTAATGGCTGGCTGATTGGTTCTTACCCAGCCATGCAGCTCTTTTTTATTTCAGTATGTTCACAGCAGTGCTCTGTGCAGTGTGGGAGCAGAGATGACCCCCTCACCAGGTCTTGGGGGGGACCCCTGTCCAATCACTGACCTCATGCTTGTGTTTCTTTTATTAGGTGTTTTGGGCCACAGAGATTCCTCAGGCAAAGGCTGTGGCTGGCAGACAGGCCACATCCTTCATGGACCAGTCCTGTGGAAGAAAGTATACCTTGTTCCTGTGTCAGTTCATGAACCCGTGTCTAACTTTTCTCAATGTTTTGAGAGTGGGGACTCTTCCCTTGCTCAAGCGCTGGCCACGGATCTCATATTGACACACCTTAGCTGTATGCTATTACCCTGGGGCTTTGGGACCAGGCCCACAGCTTTGTCCTCTGGCCCCTTGGGGTTGGGCATTGTCTATGCTAGGGGAGATTTAGTGCTCCCAGGCCACCAGGAAAACACTGAGGTGGGGCCACTGGCAAAGCACTCAGACTGGGCAGTGGAGGCTGTGCCGTATACATGCTCTTGTGGGAACAGCCAGCCAGGGGCCTTTCAAGTGGCTGGTGGGCAGAGAGGCATGCAGAAGAGAAGTGCCCCAGTCACATGGGAAAGATGGCCCTGCTCTCTCCTGGCCTTGTGGTCAGCTGGGGTTAGAACTATTTGGAGGAAGTTGGGGAGCCTAGGGGTTTGGTAACCTATGGTCATATTTTGCTGCAGCTGCCCTACTTGCAAATCCACCTGGGCTCTGTACAGGCTGGAATTCTGTCTCTGCCTACTGTCTGGGCAGATCCCCTTGCCAATTAAAATGTCTATGGGGGTCATGGGATCTTGTAGCTAAGATCTCAGAGGTTCATGGTGAAAGTAGGCTTCTGTACCATCACTTCACACATCCTTTCCTTAGGACATATTCAGGGATGAGAACTAATCCTGGTGCTCTACAACCACATGCAAGGTTCCCGGATACCTCTCTCTTCAGCTTCTGTGTTTGCATTGCCTCTCTGTCGACTCTCAGTGTTTTTCTCTTCAAAAATCTACCTCTTGATGGAATAAGCTGCAAAAGCACATTGTGAGGGGATGATGTGCATATATGGATGGGAGAAGATTTTGTGGCCCTTTTTGAAAGGTATCATAAACTTTTAAATGGATATTTAGACACTTATACTAACTGAAATTCTGCAGAATGTTCCATCCTTTTCGATAATTCTAAAGAGAAGACAATTTAACAGTATAATCATAAGAAAGAAATTTCTCTTCCTCTAGGAGATGAAATGTGGAGATAAATGATTCAAGACAGTGTAAAAGCTGGGTTAGAAATAAATGAGCATGTATTTTACGGCGCAATTTTAGACACAGAATGTTTATGAAAAAGCATCTCTCCTTTCCCCTAAAGCTAAGATTTTCAATCTATTTTCTGAGTCGGACCTTTAAAATAGCATCCCTTGATTTTCCCCTTGATTTTCTTTCTTCTCAGTAGCTTAACTTAATATAGTTTTTAATTTTCTCTTCATATCTTGGTCTAGTTTTGTATGAAGCCAGACAACCTTCTTCTAGGGTTTCAAGGTAAGTTGACCATTTACTTTGGTCCACTTAAAAGTGACTTCCATGAGAATTTTAAATAAAGATGTGGACCTTTGCCATTTATTACACAATTTACTTTTGTTTGTCACTCATGGGAAACGCTAATTAAATTTTGTTTATTGAGGTTTCATAGGATAGTGAATTCACTGGTTTAATGATAACATTGTGTGTTCATAGCTAGAGAGAAGACAACAAAACACCATTGAGAAAGTCTTTTTGTTTTAGATATAATATACACCTACACAGCCCGTTCAGCAAGAGAATTCCAAAGGCATGTTTTTAAAGAAGGGGCCTCAAGGAGACTGGATTGAGATAAGGAGAGCCTGCAATTAAAGGAGAGTTTTACAAAAGGTTGAAATGAGAAGGAAAGAAAGAAAGGCAGGTGAAGCTGGAAACTCTGTGGTAACAGGAAGTGAGAAGATTCTGAATATGCCTTCATGATTACTTCATGGAAATGGTGGCGGTGGGGGTTAGGAGGATAAATGATAAATACTTTTCACTTATCCTTTTATAATGATATACGTGCTTTAAAACTACGCTTAGTGGCCAGGTGCAGTGGCTCACGCCTGTAATCCCAGCACTTTGGGAAGCCATGGCGGACGGATCACTTGAAGTCAGGAGTTTGAAACAAGCCTGGTGAACACGGTGAAACCCCATCTCTACTAAAAATACAAAAATTAGCCAAGTGTGGTGGTGGGGGCCTGTAATCCTGGCTACTTGGGAGGCTAAGGCAGGAGAATTGCTTGAACCCGGGAGATGGAGGTTGCAGTGAGCCGAGATTTCCCCACTGCACCCCAGCCTGGGTGACAGAGTGAGACTCTGTTTCAAAAAAATAAAAATAAAAATACTCTTAATTTTGATGGTTAGAGCAATTACTATAGAACTAAATAGCTAATGTTAACCTTATACATCTTAGCCTTGTCTCTGTGTTAGTCTTTGTACCAAAGGCCTTCAAGTTGGCATCAGAGAACTGGCACATTTTGTTGAGAGGAGAAAGTCTAAAATGTCATTTACTGTTTTTACTTAGCATATAAGACACTTAATTGTTCATTTCATAACCTTGCAGTTTTTAAGAAAACTATTTAAGAAAGGTGAGGGACTGGAAAACTATAATTTTTAATTTTCTAGCACAAGTAACATTAAGTCACTGTTGCAGTCCTAGAAATGGTTTATTTGGAATCATTTATTATATTTGATGAGCTTGATGAAAATCATGAAAGGAACACTCTTTTTATTTCCTCACCCTTCCATAATGATATTTACTGTTTGCACAGCGATCACTCAATTTTTAGAGATGCTTACCACCTTCTCTTGCTGATTAAATTCCTGTTTGGTCTCACTGCCAAGTCTGTTGGATTAAATTAACAAATTCTGTTTGCTTTACTGGGAATGACCTGTAGCAACCTTCAGCTTGTAAAAAAATAATAATCTCTTCACTGATATATTGATTCAATGCTCTTTATCTTCTTTTAAAGAAATGTGCAGTGAAAATGTTATCTTCAGCTTGCTAAAATTTGCAGGTCTACCATGCTTATTGAAAATCTTGATCTTTCACATCTAATAACTCCTCTTTGCTGTTTTTAATGATTCTAGTTCTAAAGGGTTACCAAATCTTGATTACTCCGAGGAAAGACTTTAACATGAACTTTTAATCTATTAAGTGTCCCACTTTTGAAAATTATCTACATCAAAGGGCCAATTTAGGAAGATTAAAACCTTTCTTTTAAAAAGGCAAATCCAATTTTTATTAAATTGCTTATTCTGTCCATCTTTTATTTGCTTTATAGCTAACAGCTAAAAAGTATTGAAGTTTTTGAAGAAAATGAATTAAAATTTTAGCTGTAAGAAGATGCAAAAATATAACAAGATTTTGTAAATTTTACATGAAGCCTAAGCCATTGCAAGCATTATAGCAAACATTAGAAAATTAAAATGACATTCTCTGAATTTCAATAAAACAAGAATGGCAATGGTAGAATAAGAAATAAGGTTTGAGAGGAGAGTAGCGTGGAGAAACAAACCAACAATAGCTGCATTCCAGCGACTAGGCTATGGCATGTAGTTTGTGTGTATTTTCAAAGTTATTATTTATTCCCCCACTCCCCAACTTAATACATTGTCATAGATGAAGTAATTGGGGAATAAAGAGATTCAGTAACTTGCCTGAGATCAGTACACATAGCACACAGGCAAACTGAAGTCTTTCACTTCACCCTAAGTCGAGTTAGCACTAAAGCTAATTCCCTTTTGAACAAAACACACTGTGTCTTTGAGAAGTAAGCATTTCCAAATTCTCAACTCTCCATTCTACTTTCAGAACAAAAACATGACCAATGATTTTGCACATCACATGATAACCACGTAATAACATAGGTTATTCAGGAAGCTCTCCTCATGGAAGTTCCTGCTTAATGTATTTATCTTTTAATCTAGTTGAATTCTTTCATGCAATCCGGTGAAATTCAACTCTGTTAAAAAAAAAAAGTGAGAAAAATCAATCAGGGAATTATTTCTATTTGTAGGGCATTCAAGAAGGTAACAGGAGTGAACCTGAAGTGCAAGCTTTGTATCTGCTCCATCATTCATTTTCAGTAAGCATCTAGCTAAACTGAGTGCACTTCTGATGGGTGTTTTTTTGCACATCACCCTTTACCATAATCCAGGTACTTGATCTGGGGTTCAGTGGAAGAAATATGATCTGTTCCAGTGTTGGAGGAAAGCTGGCTGACTTGAATTTACTGAGAGATTATATGTTTGTAGGTTGTACTTAATGAGCATTTAAAGGTGTTGTGAGGATAATTGTGATTATGTTAGCTTTTCACATGAGTGCTGATGGAGGACCTGTTAGTCCCATCTGCCTAGTCCTCCTTCCTGCCCTTCTAGCCACTTCTCTACTGCTTCATTGACAGTCTTGGAGTATGATGTTTTTGGGTGAGGCACCTTACCCCACAACCCATACTAATTGGCTCTTTCTTCTGAGGTCCTGCCACATTTTTAGTGAGCAGGAAACAAGCCCCATCACTGAAGACATCCACAGACTTTGTCTTTCTCAGTTTGTAGAGCCTTTTTTGTTGTTGTTGTTAATTCAGAGAAAGTTCTGTCTTTTTCTTCAGGTTTCTTTTTGGTTCCATGGGGTCCTACTTCCTTCAAGGAATCCACATCCCATACCTTTCCCTGAAGCAAAGAAGCACAGGGTCCACTTTCTTTTCAGTTGGGGAAGGGAAAAGGAAAAAGATAGGAAGAAACAAAAATTCAGATTTCAAAAATTTGTCTGCCATGGTACACTGCTCAATTGCAGTGTTTTCCCATGCTGGCTACAGTGTCCCGGAATGAATGTTCTTCTGTTTCTTGTTTGATAACATACAAAATGAATAAAGGGATCCTTTCAAATTTAACCAGAGAGGTGTGGTGTTCTTTAGTGATATCCATATATAGGGGGCTCCTATATAAAATGTAGCTGTTTCAGAATCAATCCTAGGAAGATAATGCTGATACTACCCAACAGGACCCTCAAGCTGTGGTGTAGACTGCAGTAAGAG